>NC_000011.10:41575151-41878181 GCF_000001405.40 Homo sapiens
GAAACAAAACACATTCTATGGAGAGAACAAAAATAAGTGTTACAGCAGATTTTGCCAGAAACTTTGTAAGAAAGAAGATAAAAATTGGCATTTTTAAGGTGCTGAAAGATAAAATTTGTCAACCCAAATTTTATATCCACTGAAAATGTACTTGTAAAATGAAAGAAGAGACTTATTCAGACTAACAAATTCTAAAATAATTTATTATCAACACATCTATATTAAAAAATATAAAAGAAGGTTATTCAGTCTGATATCAGGCAGAAACACAATTCTACACACACATGCTTACACAAAAACTATTTATGGAAATGGTTAAAATTTAGATAAATATGTGTGTTTTCTTCTCATTTTAGTTGCCCTAAAAATAATTGGTTTTCTAAAGTAAAAAAAAAAAAAATTAACAATGTATTTGAATTTATAGACTATGCAAAGTTATATACATGAGAAGAGTATCATATTGGATGAGAGGAAGAACTTGGGAATATATTGTTATAAAGCTCTTGTATAACACATGAAGCAGTATAAAATTATTTGAAGGCAGCTATTTTTAACACCAATATAATTTACAGTAACTTCAAAAATGAAATACTTAAATATACATCGAACAGAACATGTACTGAATCTGATGATGAAAACGACAAAACACTCAAAAAGAATTCAAAGATCTAAATAAATTGAAAGCTATACTAAGATTAATTGGAAGACTTACTGTAGCATAGATTTCTATTCCCCACTAATCTGTCTACAGGCTTTTAGGAATTCCAAACAAAATATCCGCAGAAATTTTTTTCATTGAAATCAAGCCGGTTCTAAAATTCATATGGAAAGGAAAGGAAGTTAAATAACCAAACAAAGTGGAAAAGAAAAACAAAGCTTAACAACTAACATTATCTTATTTCAAAATTTGCTATAAAGCTGCAGTAATCAAGACAGTATGGTATTGGTGAAAGATCACTACCATAGGTCAGTGGAACGGAATAGAATGTTCAGAAACAGATCCAAACATACGTAGTCCACTGATTTAAATCAAAATTATAAAAGCAAATCATTGGTGGAAAGAGAATTTTTTCAAAAAATAGTGCTGGAAGAATTGGACATCCATACATACAAAAATAAATCTTAACCAGATCTCAACCCATCTCATGAACCTAAAGATAATACCTAAAAACTGCATACTAATAATATAGACCTATAATCTGAAACTGAAAGCTATAAACCTAAAACCACAACAACAAAAAACTTAAACACAAAAGAAATCTGTGTGATTTTGGAATAAGTAAGGAGTTCTTATATATAACGCCAAGGTCATGATCTATAATAAAAAAGATAGATTTCATAAAAATTTAAAACTTTTCTTCTAAAGGTACATCGAGAAAATAAAAAAGCAGGCCACAGAATTGAACAGAAACTTCACCAACAATAATATATGGATATGAAATAAGCTCAGTGTCACTAGCTATTACTGAAATAAAAGTTAAAACTTCAGGGAGATACCACTACACGCCTATTAGAAGAGAGTGAAGGGAAACTAATAATACTAAGTGCCGGGAAAATTAGAAGCTTTGAGGAGAGTGTAGGGTTAAGGAATCTGCTGTGTTATCTCACCAGGAGGTCCCTCATGTGTGCTTCTGAAATTTCAGTTCTCTGTGTTCCCTGCCTCCCTGTAGGAAGCTCCATTAAATTCCTAGCAGTGCACCTTGCTTATAAGTCTGTTCTTTTTCTTTGCTACCACATGCACGGTTAGTTGACGTTTTGCAGTCATCGAGCCCCTGCTTTCCTTTCCCTCTCCCTTTGCTTCCCGGCCCAGATGTTTGTTTTGCTGATGTCTTCCTCCAGAATTTTTTAGCACATTCCTCCATTATAAAAAATAGGTGCATTCTGCACCTGCCAGAATCAGTCATTGTTCAATTTTGTCTACTTTCACTTCCCTGAGATGAACAATCCTACCCCAGAGACACTCTGTTATTTGACTAATATCTAACCCAAACCTGGACTCAATCTATCATGGTCCTTTCTATGTTCTCTAAAGTATGCCTCATATTGGCTGTGCCTTTCATTAACATCCCAATTCTTTAAATTTCTGGAGCACTTTCCTCAGGGCACAATCAGGCAATTCCACTATCTTCACCTAAAAACAACAACAACAGCAAAAAAAAAAACAAAAAACAAATGGTAGCTGAGTTTCTCAGAAGTTATTTGAGTACTTTATGCCCATCTCAGTAGCCATCTTGCATCCTATTTTTAATACAGTTTTCCGAATCATGTTTTCACATTGCTATCTGAATCTATGAGAGGTGTTTTCCCAGTGATCCTTACTACAGGATCTCTAAATATGACTTTAAAAAGAGAAGTTGCAATAATTTTTTGGCTCTTGTCTGTCTCTGGGAGAATCATCACAGAGTCCTGTGAAGTGAAGTGGTGCTTCTTTTCCCTGTTATTTTGTTTTCACCTGTTTCAGATCTACTATCAGATGAGATCTAGAAGTGCATTTTTCTCATCTCTTTTTGAAAAAGATTTAAAAGTAGAGGTTTCTTTATCTATTTAAATCTGTCCATCTAGAATCTTAAGATAGAATTCTCCTCTCTTTTTATATGTCTAATCTTGCCACTAAATTTCTCACCCATAGCCTAAAGAAAATTATCTCCTCAGCTGTATTTTTTTGCAGTCTTTTGCACTTTTCCAGCTCTGATAATAAAACAAATAATGAAAACTTTTTTTAAACATTATAATGTCTTCCTGACATGGTGAGTGAACTCAGTTTCTAGAGACAGTGATAACTATAGGACACTTTAGGAGCCTTCTTAGCCTTTAAGCTTATAGTATTTTATAGTTTTTGTTTCTTCAGACTCAACCCAAGAAAATGCTGTATCATCTTAATAACAATTTGCAAAAAGTACTCCAAATCTTTTATCAACAAAATTTACCTACCTTCTATGGATGAAACCAAAATTTAAGTATGAGAACTCTAAAGTTGTTATCAGAGCATTTATGTTCAAATCGAGCTTGTGAATGGCTTGAGCCCATGGCAAGCCACATGAATTCAAGGTTAATTATTCCAAAGTTTACTTCCAAGTCAGTGGTGACAACTCAAAATAACAATAACTCTGAACAGAATTTTGGACAGACTATGTCTGAAAGAAACAATTTTCTGCAGAACTTGTTATGGCTGACAAACACCGTAAGAAGAGCCAAAGGTATGTAAATGAGAAGAATCTCCTGTAAATTCATGCCCTAGCAATTCCTGCTCAGAAGAGGCTGTGCGTGTTTAACAAGATGAAGTAGTAGCTTTCCGGTTGCTGCCATGACTGTGAAAGGCCCTTCCGTCCTGTTCATTTGCTGAATCTGTAGAGCTGGTTTGTGTTTATTAAATCTCCTCCTACGACTGCCAAGACCAAAGCACCTCCTCCCTTTTGCTGAGAAGACCAACGGGACTTTTGCCACAGCCTGAGCGACTTCATACAAGGCCTGACCTCCTTTGTTTAAGTTTCTTTCTCTGTAGAAACAGCTAAAGCAGTCTCCCCTATATCTGTGGTTTCACTTTCTGAGGTTTTAGTGACCTGAGTCAAACCACAGTTCAAAAATATTAAATGAAAAATATCTAGAAATAAACAATTCATAAGTTTTAAATCGGGCACTCTTCTGAGTAACATGATGAAATCTCACCCTTTCTCACTTTGTCCCGCCTGAGACATGAATCATCCTTTTGTGCAGTGTATTTACACTGCCTAAGCTACCCGCCCGTTAGTGATTTAGTAGCCATCTGGGTTATTAGATTGACTGTCATGGTATTGAGGTACTTGAGTTCAAGTAACTCTTATTTTACTTAATAATGGCCCCAAAGTACAAGAGTAGCAATGCTGGCATATTGTTATAATTGTTCTATTTTACCATAGTTATTGTTATTAATCCCTCATTATGCCTAATTCATAAACTTTATCACAGGTGTGTAAGTATAGGAAAAATCGTAGTGTACATAGGGTTCAGCACTACCTGTCATTTCAGGCATCTACTGGGTGTCTTGGAATATATCCTCCATGAGTAAGGGGGGACTACTGTATTTACTTTTGGAATAAGCCACTGAATGTTAAATTTATAATGTTCAAACACATAGTGAACTTAATCCTTAAAACCTCTCTGTCATGCCCCAGATAAAAAGCTTGCCTTGAGTACCTTTACCAATCTCAAAAGTTACAACCCTTTCCATGCAGTAAAGGCCATGGAGGGTGTCTAACAAGAGTTAAGCCAACCTTAGTGGAAGTCTGAAAGTCATAGGAAAAAGTTGGATTTGAGATAAAATTTGAACACAGTCAACAAGGTTTGATAATAGATAGACGATAAGATATGATATAAAGAAGAGTTATGAGAATATCTCCAAGTTTTGGGCTTGAACAATTAGGTGAATGCTGCTTATTGAGGGAAGATCAGGTTTGATCAGACTAGGGGTAATGGAGAGTTCAATTTTGGATATATTAAATTTAAATGTCTAGTAAGTAGGAACCTCAAAGTGAATTATGATGTTGTGTATCTATTAGTCATTAGCATCATCAGTGAGATTACTGTGACACGTTAAGACATGTAAATAAACGAGTTCATACAGGTTAGGCAGGGAATGTAGCTACAGACAAGGTCTACTACGCATCCCTAGGTCAGTGTTTTTCAGCTATTGATGTGTACACCAATCAATTGGAGAGCTTGTTAAAATGGAGAGTCTGATTCTGTAGGTCCAGTGGTGAGCCTGAGATTCTGGCATTTCTATCAAGTTTCCTGGTGATACTGGTCCACAAACCATACTTCATATTCAATTATCTTTGGCATTCAAATATTCATAGGTAGGGCAGAAGAGAAACAGCCAATAAAGCAAACTGAGATGGAAAGGGAATGAGATTAGAGGAAAACCTTTAAGTGTCGATATAATGAGTTATCTTAATAGATCTAAATATTGAACCACTCTTGAATTCCTAGGGTAAATCCGGCTTTGTCATAGCATATATAATTATTTTGTTGATTCTATTTGCTAAATTTTAAAGAATAATTTTGGCATTTGAATTCACAAGGTAGAAAAATCAATAATTTCTTTTTGTTTCATCTTTGTCAGTTTTGACATTAACTTTATATTTAATTTTTTAAATTAATTATTTATATTAAATGTATAAAGCATTATTCCTTAATCTTTTTATATGTTCTAGAAGAGTTTAAGCTACCTTAAATTATTCTGTCTTTTAAAATTGGATACAATTTAGCTGAACCCATCTGTTTCCAGGGACTTTTTAATAGTAGAATCTTTTAAAGGTAAATTTTGGTAATTTTTTTTTTTTGAAAAACACAAATTCCTGTAGATGGTTTTCAAGAATATTGCCATAAACTTTCTTATAGTATTATCTTATAATCCTGTTACTATCTCCTCTGTGTGTGTGTGAGAGAGAGAAAGATTCATTTTCTTTATTATTCCTGACCTTATATATTTTGCTCTCAATAATGCCTTGTATTGGCATTTGGGCGTAATAATCAGTTTCTACAAAAAATATATATATATTTTAACTTTAGCTGTATAATTCCTACTTTTCATATCTGTTGGCTCATATTGTTGAATTTTATTATTTATCAAGATTGGTAGTAAGTTTCTTTTCAATTTCTAAAAAATCTTCCATCATGAGTAGGCTTATATACTTTCTACTCAGTACAATTTTTTGGTGAGATCTGTAAGTTTTGCTGTGTAGTATTTATGTTTTGCTTCCATTCTATTGAAATATTTTGAAATTTCTCTTTGTAAATATTCTTTAATTAAAGGAATTTCTAGGGACATAATTTTCAATTACAAACATACAGTTGAGTGAATTTTTAAAAACTCTACACTAATTGTTTTCATTACTTTTTTTTTTTTTTTTTTTTGAGAGGGAGTTTCGCTCTTGTTGCCTAGGCTGGAGTGCAATGGTGCAATCTCAGCTCACTGCAACCTCCGCCTCCCGGGTTCATGCAATTCTCCTGCCTCAGCCTCCCAAGCAGCTGAGATTACAGGCATGCGCCGCCATGCCCAGCTAATTTTGTTTCTGCAGTAGAGACCATGTTGGTCAGGCTGGTTGGTCTTGAACTCCCGACCTCAGGTGATCCACCGGCCTCGGCCTCCCAAAGTGGTGAGACTACTGGCGTGAGCCACTGTGCTCGGCTATTTTCATTTCTGTTGGATCATAATTAGAGAAGGGGGCTATAAAGACTCTACTGCTTTAGTGTTTTAAGCTTTACCCTGTGGCCTATAATGTATACAAGTTTTGTGGACATAAGAGAAAAAATGTTACATATCTGAGGGATGCATATTTAGGTAGACTGATTGAGTTATTCAGTTATCTGACTTGTTTTTTTCTATATGCATTTTCCTAATTCTTAAAGGAATATATTAAAAGCTCCCTTTTTTTCTATCAAGTTCTTCTTGCATTGTAATAGGTTTTGCTTCATATATTTAGCTACAATTTTATACCTCTACTTACCTATAACTGTAATGCAGAGCTGTCTGGTAGGACTTCCTGTGATGGAAGTATTCTATATCTGTGCTGTCCCATATGGTTACCACAATCACATGTGGCTATTGAACACTTGAAATGTGGTTGGTGCAACAAAATTTTAAATTTTATTTTTTTTAAATTTATCTCCATTTAAATTTATATAGCCATACATGACTAGTGGATATCTTATGAGACAGCATAGTTGTAATATCTTCTGTTTAAGCTTTTATTATTAAAAATTATTTCTGTTTGTCTTGTTCAAAGTTTGTGTTAGTTTCCTTTGATTGCTATGGCACATTACCATGAAATGGGTGGCTAAACACAGCAAAGGTTTCTTTCTCACTCTTCTGGAGGCTAGAAGTCTAAAATCAAGGCATTGGCAGGACCATGCTTCCGCTGAAGGCTCTAGAGAAACATTTTTCCCTGAGCCTTCCAGCTTCCGGTGGTTGCCCGCCACCATTGCATCCCTAGGATTGTAGCTGCATCACTCCCGTTTCTGCCTCTGTGTTCACATGGTCCTCTTCCCTGTGTCTCTGTCCAAATCTCCTGCTCCCTTCTCTTATAAGAATACCAATCCTTAGATTTAGAGTCCACCTTAATCTAGTATGACCCCACCCTAATTTGATTACATTTGCAAAAACCCTATTTCCAAATAATGCTACTTTCATAGGTACTGGGATTAGGACTTAAATTCATCTTTTTAAGGGACACGGCACCATCCACTACAGGGTTTTAAAATAAAAAATCCTTCTTCTCCTGAATGTTACCAATCCCAATTTCCTTTAGTTTTCATTTGACTGGTATTTGTTAGCTCATTTTTTTATTTTCAGTCACACTTATTTTTAAATTTGGTTTACCATAAATATAATACAACCTAAAAAATCTGATGGTCTTTGTCTTTTTCAAAGAACTCAGTATGTTCACATTCAATGTTATTAATGAAATATTCATTTATTCATTCTGTCTAATTTTCCATATAATATTATTTTACCTTGCTGTTCACTATTCATTTTTTAGATTTCTTGGTTTAATAAAGTTTCTTTTCATTTCATATTGTCTATATTTTTAAAGAACAGATGTTCTATTTTATTTTTCAATTCATTGTTACCTTCCCTTTTCAAACTTATATTTCTCTATTATTTATTTTAAATGAGTCCAAGTACTTCTTCCATGAAGAAATATTTTTTATATCCTCATATACGCACACATGTTGGCCATGGGAATGCACCTTGCAGATGTCTAACTACAGGTAGTCGAATTGATGTAGGGCTCTACTTGTTGTGTTCTGAAATCTATCAATGTGTTTGGCTAAGACAATGCTCATTGTAGATTGCTCCCAGTCAGTGGCTTAACTTAGCAGAGGTGCTACAGCCTGTTTCTGGAAAACAGGAGACTCCTCTGATGTCTGACTTTGGCTCAAAGACTCCTCGGAGGACTTGCCACACCTTCCTTGGATTGCATGGCTGGTTAGATTGCCCCCACCCCAACTCGTTTCCCTTTCTCCCTCACTTAGGAATCACTTGTGCATGAAGGTCTGATGTCTCTCTCCATCTTCCCTGATTTCTCTTCATTTTCCTTCACAAGTGTTTTTTTTTTTTTTAATAAAATCCTTGCATGTTCAATCTTATCTTGGCATCTCTTTCTTGGAGGACCCTCCCTAACACACTACAACAGTACAGTAACCAGAAAATTTTTAAATTATTTCAACTCTCCCCAATCGCCTCTGAGTTTTATTGAAATAGTTTAATACTTGTATTAGTAGACTGTTACAGATTCTCCCTTGCCGGATAGTCATGAGTTCTGATATGGATTTATATTATACATTCCCAGACAATGTATTAGTATTCCTCGACATTTAACTATTAACTGTGCCCCAAACTTACAACTTACTCTCATTTTTATCTTCCTTCACCTATCTTTTTATTTTTATTTTTATTTTTTTATTTTGAGTCTCACTCTTTAGCCCAGGCTGGAGTGCCGTGGCGCGATCTCAGCTCACTGGTGCAACCTCTGTCTCCCAGGTTCAAGCTATTCTCCTGCCTCAGCCTCCCAAGTAGCTGGGACTATAGGTGTCTGCCCCTCACCTATCTTGAAGTCTCTGTTCTGATTTGTTTCAGGCCTCGTAAGAGTCTCTATAAGTTAGGATCCTTGAATGTAAATAGTAAAACATATTCTTAATTAAAACAAACAAAAAATAAGGATATTAACCCATTTATGGCTGAGGTTGCATTTTTTTTGAATTTTTGCAAAGAGACCTTGGCGATGACCTTGAGCAGTAGGATATAAATAACTCCCACATGCTTAGTGTTCCCATAATGGAACAATAGGCATAACTCAGCCACTGTGCCTGGCTATTTTCATTTCTGTTGGATCATAATTAGAGAACGGGCCTATAAAGACTCTACTGCTTTAATGTTTTAAGCTTTACCCTGTGGCCTATAATGTATGCAAGTTTTGTTGACATAAGAGAAAAAATGTTACATATCGGAGGGATGTCCAGAAAATCAGACTTGAAGGACACATACCAGATTCCGTGCCTACATGAACCCATGAGACTGCTCCAGAAAAGCCTCTCATGTTGCCATAGTGGAGCACAAGAACCATAGATCAGGTACCTGTCACAGCCACATCCGAAAACTGGCTACCTCTTCATCTTCCCTGCTGTGCGAACTCCATGCAACACCTCCTTTTTACAAGTCATTCTCTACAGAACCCAAGTGCTCTAGAACACATGGTTGGTGAAACATAGTTTATTTGCTTTGCCTGGGCCGCAAAAGATCCTGACAAATCAAATGACATTTTCCAAACAGAAATAATGTTCATAAACCGATGGACAACTACAACATATGGACATCAACACTTCAGAGTTCTTTCTCGATATTTTTACCACACAGGGAACATTGATGGTAACTAGGGATTTTTGTGCAACCACAATATGTGTGTTTGTTTTTTCTTCTTGACAGTTGAATTATTCATCAGCAGGGCAAAGTATTATTGGGTAGATGTCCCTTTCTCTCAAAATGACATAGATATTATGTTACAGCTTTTAGCTTCCAGATGAGAAGAATGACATTCACTTGATTGCTTCCACCTTTAGGGATAAGTTATTCTTTGTCCCTAAAAGCTTGCAAGAGTTTTTCTTTATGCCTATAGTTCAGAAATGTATGAAGCTCTGATTAGATGGGTCTTTTTCTTTTTTAATCACCAACTCAAATTGCAATGTGAACTCTTTTATTCTAATGAATCAGATTTAATGTTCTTTTAACTTAGGGTAATTTTAACAATTTGATAGTAATTCAAGCTTAGAGTAATTTTTATGTATTTCAAAACTGCCTCTTTTCATCTCCCTTTCTGGGACCTCTACCCTTTTGGGTGTCCTTGAATTTGCAAGCTTGGTCCGCTGGGTCTCCTAGAGCTCTCCTGTCAGCCTCTTACATTTTCATTCATTATTTGTATGTCTTTATACAATAATTTTGCTTTCTATGTTAAGATATTTCTTTTATTTTATCTTCCAGGCCATGAATGTATTATTAGAAATCATAGTTTTTGCACGGCATATAAACATCACTATACCTTTTGTTGATCTGCTTATCTCTCTTTCTTGTTCAGTGTTCTATTTAACTTTCTATTTATTTAACTCTTCTGCTTTGGCAGAAATATCATCATCGCTCATCAGTAGTAAGTCTGGTTATTGTCATGTCTTGAGGTAGTGGTTTCCCAGTGATTGGATGGCTGGTGTTGTGGGAACAGACTATTAAAACTCCCTTTTTGAGTGGCATAGAAGAAGGCTCCCAAGTTCCCACTCTTTTGGAATCTCATGTATAGGAAAGATGGCTCATCCATGTAACATGAGTCTTGAGGGCCAGGGAAGGCCTCGTAAAATTACCCTAAGGTAGTATCAAAGTTAGCTTTTTCAGTGATTGTCTGCTGATGTCTATGACAATAATTTTCTCAAAATTTCTCACTTTATTATTTTTGTCCTAGGTTTCTCTGATTTTTGCCTCTCATAAGCTAGGAAGCACCCCAGTGGATCATAATAGGGGATTTTCATGGATACCACAGCTTCTATGATTTCGCTGAGTCCCCACCCAAATCTCATCTTGAATTGTAGTTCCCCAAATTCCCACATGTTGTGGGAGGAACCAGGTGGGGATAATTGAATCATGTGAGCACTTTTCCCCATCCTGTTCTAGTGATAGTGAATTCGTTTTCATGAGATCTGATGGTTTTATAAGGGGCTTCCTCCTTCACTGGGCATTCATTCTTCTCTCTCCTGCCACCATGTGAAGACAGACATGTTTGTTTCCCCTTCCACAATGATTGTAAGTTTCCTGAAGCCTCTCCAGCCATGCTGAATTGTGAGTCAATTAAACATCTTTTCTTTGTAAATTATCCAGTCTTGGGTATGTCTTTATTAGCATCGTGAGAACAGACTAATACAGTCACTGATTTCATAAGCCAATAGTTGATGCTATGTTAAAGCAACATTTCTCAAATGGCCCTAAGAGAATTAGGTTGGAAAAAATAGGGTTGTATGGGACTCTACTGTACAGTACAGGACAGTTAGCCTCACGGGACTTTGGGCATTACGTGTCAATAGCACTCACCACTTGTTGTAAAATGTAAAATGCCTCCTCCATTTTCCAAATGCTTTTGGAGGGAGTTGCTGAGTAGCAACTGTGGCTGAGAAACTCCAATTAAAAACAAATAAATAGATAATTTTAAAAATCTTATCATGAGGTGCCAAATGGTAAAATAGCTGACCAAGTTGGTATAAACCACCACAGAGAGGAAACACTGCATAAAATATTACCATTAAAAAAATAATAGGGTGTCTCAAAATAAATAGAAGGGAATCTGCCCCCGATGAAGAAGTAAGCATGCACATCATTGTTATAGCTGCTGCAATTGATACCAGGCAAAAAAGGGCCCCTGGATTTATGATCATAGTTTGCTAAATTCCTTATAGGCAGAGAAACTGTGGCTTGCATAGTGAAATCAAAAAATTATCCTTGAAACACAGGATGATCAGAGGGTTGCCATGTGCATAGCTGTAAAATTTCACACAATTGTCAAGAGAAGTTTTCCAAAAAGATTTTTATTTGCTGAGGTTTCTGAATAAGCAAAATAAAATTATTCAAGAGAGTAAACACCATAATTGTTACATATCTGAAGCTGTGGTGGCTCTGCTCCAGGTTATAAGATAGATTTAGGTATTTTCTCCATACATCTCTCATATGAGGACCCAAGCTGAAAGAGGAATGGTTACTTGAGACATATTCTTCTCATGGCAGAGGGCAGAAGAACAAGAGTTTACATATATTTAAAGTTTTTGCTCAAATGTGCCCTCATGTCTCAGCATATTTAATTGCCTGTGGCAAATCACATGGTCGAGCCCAATGTATTAGGCTGGTTCAAAAGTAATCATGGTTTTTGCCATCGAAAGTAATGGCTATTAAAATAATTTTGCCATTACTTTCAATGGCAAAAATCACAATAGATGAGGCAGGAAATCCATGCTTCTCACAGCTGAGGGTAAGGGGGAGGGAATATTTGTTGGTGAGTAATACATGCTACCATACCCAACAATGCTCACAAACAACTTAAATGCCACAGAAGACAGAGCTTTACAGGCTTCAAGAGATAAAGCTGGCTGGGCGTGGTGGGTGATGCCTGTAATCCCAGCACTTTGGGAGGCTGAGGCGGGCAGATAACCTGAGGTCCATAGTTCGAGACCAGCCTGACCAACATGGCAAAACCCCATCTCTACTAACAATACAAAATTCGCCAGGTGTGGTGATGCACACCTGTAATCCTAGCTACTCGGGAGGCTGAGGCAGGAGAATCGCTTGAACCTTGGAGGCAGAGGTTGCCATGAGCCAAGATGGTGCCATTGCACTCCAGCCTAGGCAACAAGAGCAAAACTCTGTCTGAAAAAAAAAATAAAGCAATTAACCTAGAGCAGCCAGGATTCTCATGTCTTATGATCTGATGATGTGGCTTGACTACTCACCTATAACCCCAGGTTGAACCTTATGCTCCCTGCCCAACAAGCTTCTAGAGACAATTGAGTCCTTCTAATCTGCACTTAGGGTAAAGGGGAACTTCTTGTTCTGGAATTTCCCCTAATCCATATGAGTCTGTTCGTATTCACCGAGTTTTGATGGAGTGGGATGATAAATGATTTGTGGAAGGTTTACATTCTGACCTCAGCTATGGACTAGAAAATACTGATTTCAAACTCAGAGCTCAAGAACAACCCTATTATTTTACCATTACCATAGCTCCTCCTGAAACAATGAACACAATTTATTCAATAGGTGGACTAACAGTGAGAAAACCAAGAGAAAGAAAATATTAAGAGGAAAAATTCATTGACTTAAGAGTTCACAAATAATTTGTGTATATATTTACTATGTATATCTCTTTGTAACAAAGGAGCATCAAACTTTCTTTCAGCCCAGAAATGCACTACTTTCTAACTGCTACTGCAACAAAGTACCACAACCTTAACGAAGGTGGCTTACACAACAGAAATGTGTTCTTTCACAGCTCTGGAGGCTGGAAGTCTAAAACCAAGGTGTTGGTAAAGTTGGTTCTTTCTTGAGGCTATGAGAAAAGTCTGCTTTATACTATTTTCTCCCAGATTCTGCTGGTTTGCTGGCAATCTTTGGTTTTCTGTGACTTATGATGCATTACCCTGAACTCTGCCTCTATCTTCACATGGTCGTCTACCTGTGTGTTTGCTTCTGTTTCCAAAATTCTCATTTTTTAAAAAACATAGTTGTATTGGATTAGAGCCCACTATAATGATTAACTTGATCACCTGCAAGCCTCTATTTCCAAATCATGTCACATTCACAGGCCCTGGGTGTTAGGACCTCAACAACTTTTGTGGGGACAGAAATCAACACATAACAATTTTTTTTTCAAAAGGCATTTTACTCAGAAACTCAGCATATCAAAGAGATAAAATAGAGCAGATCTGGTTAAGTGAAGGTAATGGGGCAAAGCTCAGAGGATCCTGGCTTCGACTCACCTCCTAAAAAACTCACTGAAATGTTCCTGAGATACCTGCATCCTCTTCAGAGCATAGTTTTAAAATGACTATTCATACTTTATTCCATTGCAGGGTAACTATAGCTAATAACAATATATTGTATATTTCAAAATAGCTGGTAGAATTTTGAATGTTATCACAACAACATGATAAATGTTTAAAGTATGCTAATTACCCTGATTTAATTGTTATATAATGTATACATGCATGGAAACATCACACTGTATTCCTTAAATATGTATAATTATTATGTGTGAATTATAAATAAAATACAACTAAAACTTAATCAAATAAAATGACTATTCCACAGCTTCATTTTTAAATACCTATGTAGTATATCCTCATATGGGAAAAACATAATTTATTTAATAATCTGATATTCATAGATATTTCCATTTTTAAACCTTTCCCTATTGCAAACAATATTGTGCTTAACACCCATGTAGCTAAGTTTTTGTGTACATATTTCGTAATTCCTTTAGCAATATTTTCTAAAAATGAAAATGTTTTTAAATACTTACATATTAGCACATTATGCTAAATTGCTTCCCCTCCAAAAACAGTTGTCCCAATTTATTTTCTTTTCAGCTTTATATGATATACTTTTAGGTTTCGCTGAACCTCATCACAGAGCATTGAGTTTCAAGGGAGGGTTGCTACTATAGACTGAATGTGTCATACCAAAATTAACATGCTGAAATTCTAACCTGCAGTATGATGATATTAGAATGTAGGACCTTCTGGATGTTGTGTTATGAGAATGGAGCCCTCAGGAACGGGAATAGTGTCCTTATGAAAAAGAGGCACCAGAAAGGTAACCCCACTCCTGAGAACACAGGGAGAACACACGGAGAAGATGGTCATCTATGAAGCAGGCTTTCCAGGGACAATCAATCTGTCAGCATCTTGACCTTGGACATCCCAGCCTCCAGAACTGTGAGAAATAAATGTTTGTTTTTTCAGTCACGCAGTCTATGATATTTTTGTCACACAGCCTGAATGAACAAAAAGGGTTAGTTTAGCTTAAATGATTTTTAACTGGAAGAAAATTACTGGCTCTGAAAGGAAGCTTAGAATACTCCTTCCCCAAGTCAGAGCTCATGCTCCCTGAAAGAAAGTAGAAATGAGGCACCGAAGTGAGCAAGATTAGTCAAGGAAACTTCTAACTATAGGGCCTATTTTTTCCACCTGAGGCATCATATAAATGTCCTAGTGCTGCCATATCAAATTACCACAAACTAGGTGGCCTTAAGAAAAATTAATTGCCTCACAACTCTGGAGGCCAGATGTCCAAAATCAGGGCATCTACAGACACATGCTCCCTCTGAGGATTGTAGGAAAATATCTTTCCTTGTGCCTTCCTAGCTTTTGCTTGTTGCCAGTAATCCTTGGCATTTTTTGGCTTGCAGTTGAATCACTGCAATCTCCGCCTTGGTCATCAAGTGACCTATTTCCCTCTGTCATCTGGGTTTTCAAATCTCAGTCTGTTTATAAGGACACCATTAATTAGATGTAGGATGACTCATTTTTAGCTTGATTACATCTGCAAATATCCTACTTCCAAATAAGGTCATATTCACAGATACCAGGGTTAGGACTTCAACATATCTTTCTGGGCAGGGGGCACAAATTATTCCACATCAGACACCAGCTGAATTCTGAGACAAAGGCGGGTGCCTAGGATTTAAGGTGTTCCAAAGAGAAGTGCGAGGGAACCCCTACGATGAACTTCACCTTCTTCAGTTTCACACAAGACGTAACTTCTTTGTGGTAACTGATGTCTCTCCAAATGACATCCTGGATTGGAACCATATTCTGGGAAATGGAGCCACCTGCCACTGCCACTCTGTGCATCATGAAGATAAACACATACCTTTTTGTTTAAATTCACCTAATCACAGAGATTAATTGTATCATGGGATATGACAGGACTCTGCAGTTTCCTCTGTGCAATTGCTGGGCTATTTCAGTTGTGTTAAGAGGCTCTGCCTAGAGAGAAAGGTGGCATGTGCTCATTAAGATAAGTGCCACATTTAATAACAGACTCAGAAACACAGATTTAAGTACATTCTGTGCAGGAGCAAATCATATTTCCTGCATCTTTCAATGCAAATATAGATCCTAAATGAGAGTCAAGATAATACTGTTAGAGTAAACCATCCCCAAATTCTTCATTTCATTAATCCTATATCTTTCTTTCCTGCATACAAGTTTGGTGTTGCCTACAGTTGATAAAGAGAAGTCAAATAATTCCAGCATTTTTATTTATCAACAAGCATTTATTGAACAATAGCTATGTGCCAGTCCTCATTCCAGATGCTTGGGATACAGAAGAGAACGGACACAAACAAACAGAAAACAGCAAACAAAGTTTCCAGCCTATGTGATGCTTACACTCTACTTGTCTTTGCTGAGTAGTCTTTTATTTTTCTGTTTCTGCTATCAATTTTGGATATTGCCCACCAGTGGTTAATTGACTTTTTACCTGCAATCAAAATGCATAATGGTTACAATGTTTTATAGTGTGAGAATCATTTAATATCTTTTTGTTTCTGTGTGTGAATCTCAAAAGTTACATGGCTTCTAACAAAAATAAAATGGCTAATGGAAATAAAAAACACCTTTGTCTTTTTCTACTATTCTCCAAGACACAATGAAATGCTCTCTTTCTCAAGTGTAGCTTTAAAAACATCTCTCCCAACTATTTCAGCAACTCCCTATTTAAAGTATCAACAGTAGTGAAAATATTTATAATGTTGGAGTTTCATTTCTACACATTTTTTACTTTTCCAGTCAGAAAGAAAGAAAAAGACTGAGACAGACTACTGTGTATCTATTACAGTGTGACATTTGATTTAATATTTTATTTTACCCTATTTTACCATTATTCTGAACCCCATTTCTCTAGCATCAATTGTAAACTCTGTAAAGTCAAGAAAATATGTCATCAGCTATTTCTGTATCCTCCACTGAAAGAACAGCCTCAAACATTCAGTAGATACTCAATAAATACTGAAACAGGAGAGTTCCCCAGCTTGCCTCTCAGGGTGTGTGACAGAGATACGGCTCTCTGTTCAGCTGCAGTGAGCTCAAACCCCTTATGGGAGGGGGAGCATGCTGACGAGCAGGTGCAGAAGCTGGTGAGTGCTTTGGGCTCTGGCTCCATGGTAGTGCCTAGAGGTGAGTGCCTGTGACCCCAGTGTTACAAAGCCCTTTTAGCTCTGCCATCCTCAGATGGCTGAAGTGTTAACCAGCTCAATGACTCCTCTGCCTTTCTGCAAGGGCAGTGGGCCAATGTGATAGCTTTCTGTGTCCTGAGCTCTTGTCCAGTGTCCTAGAAGAATCAGGTCATATATAGACTTGAAGGATGGATGCAGGGGTTTTATTGAGTGGTGGAGGTGGCTCTCAGTGGGATGGATGAGGAGCTGGAAGGGGGATGGAGTGGGAAGGTGATCTTTCCCTGGAGTTCATCTGTCCAGTGGCCAAACTCCTCTCCAACCTCCCCCCAGCTGAACTCCTCTTGGTGTTCAGATGTTCCTTCTCTTCTTTCTCTGCCATGCTGTTCTGCTGTTTGTCTTGTTGTCTCCTCATCTCCTCATTTCCTCATCTCCTTCTCTGCTCATCTGCCTCTGGATCCTGGGTTTTGAGGTTTATATGGGTACGAACCCCAAATGGGGAGCCAAAAAACAACTTTTGGAGCATGAAAACAGGAATGTCTGTCTTCATTTAGGGCCACAGGTATCCAGGCTTGAAGATGGGGCCTTTGCCAAAGAACATCCATCTTCTACCCAGTATTTCCCTGTCTCCTGTCCATATCAATACTTTTGGGAAATATTTTCTATTTTTATATTCTTACAATTCTATAATTATAATTATGCATATTTTATCAAATGCAATTATGCAGTTTTTGTAATGAACCCAAAACTATGAATTTGAAATATCTACTGCTATAGTTTGAATGTTTGTGTCCTCTTCAAAAATCATGTTGAAACTTAAACCCCAATGTAATAGTATTAAAAGGTGGGACCTTTATGTGATGATTAAGTCACAAAGGTGGAGCCCTCCTGGATAGGATTAGCAATGTTATAAAATGGCTGGAGGAAACTAGCTAGGCCCTTTTTGCTGTTTTACTTTCTGCCATGTGAAGACACAATGTTCATCCCTCCTGCACGAGACAGTGACAAGATTCCATTCTGGAAGCAGAAAACAGCCATCAGCAGACACCAAATCTACTGGCAACTTGATCCTGAATTGCCCAGCCTGAAGAACTGGGAGAAAGAAACTTCTATTCTTTATAAGTTACCCATTCTCAGGTACTTTGTTATAGAAGCACAAATGGACTAAGGCACTTACCAAACATTCTCTTCTCTTTCCATGTAAAACACACAATATTATGACTTTTTATAAGGTAATGAAGTATCACAGAATTTTAGGCCTTTAAGGAAATTTCCAGTAGCCAAATTTTAACCCCACTCCATTACATTAAATGTTTCCATCTCCTGCTACAAACTTCTATATGAACTGTCCCTGCCATCATACTTACATCACAAGTTGCTCTAATTGTTAAATGTATTTTTCTTAAGCAAAATCAAAATTCTCCTCCATATAACTAATACTGATGAGCCTTTGTCAGGCATGGTAAGTAGTTTCACCTCATGTGGTCAATAGACTTTAAGGTGGTTCCTATAATCCCTCCTTTCTGGTATTTACTCCCTTGTAATCCCCTTCCTTTAGGCATGTTGTGACCTATGACTTGCTTCTAACCAATAGAATATGGCAAAAGTGACAAATACATGTTATTATGTGTATGTTATTACATTACATAAGATTGGTACCACATCTTGCATGGAGAGTCTCTTTCCTTTGCTGCCTTTGAGTAAAGAAGCTGCCAATGAAACAGGAAATTTCCCTGATGCTCCTCTCTGGATGTGTGACAGGGATGTGGCTCATCTGTATGGCCCCCATGCCTGCTCAAACTTCTTATGAGAGGGGACACATGAAGACAGGCAGGTGCAGGAGCTGGGGCAAGTGCCCCTGGGCTCTGATCCCATGGCAGCTTCCAGGGCTGGGAAGCTGCAACTCCCAAAGCCCAAGTGGGCATGTTTCACAGTTTGCAATTTTAGCCTTGCTGTCCACAGGTGACTTAAGTGTTAACCAGCCCAGTGCCCTCTTGGTACCCAGGTCCTTCTCTGACATCCAGGAAGAATTAGGTTCCACATGGACTTGAGGATGATGAATGCATGGGTTTTATTTCATGGTAAAGCTGGCTCTCAGCAGGATGGATGGGGAGCTGGGAAGAGGATGGAGTGGGAAGATGATCTTCCCCTGGAGTTCAGCCGTCCAGTGGCCAATCACCTCTCTAACTATCCCCAGCCAAATTCCTCTTGGCGTTCAAATGCTCCTTCTCTTCTCTCCTTCTCTGCCACACTGTTCTGCCTTTCTTCTGCTCTTCTCTTCATCTCCTTGTTTGCTTCTGGAACCTGGGGTCTGGTATTTATATGGGTACAGAATAGAGGGGCAGAGTGCACCAAAAGGCAACTTTCGGGCATGAAAACAGGAATGCCTGTTTCCATTTAGTGCAGCAGGTTTCCAGGCTTGAGGGTGGGGCCTTTGCCAGGGAACCTCGCTCTTCCACCCAGTATTTTCCTGTATCCTGTTCATATCACCACATTGGAGGCCCCACATGGCAGAGAACTGAGAACTGGCCTTCAATCATCATCAAGAAGTTGAGGACCTCAGTCCAACAATCCATAAGAAACAGATTGCTGCCAACAACTACATGACCTTGGAAGCAAATTTTTCACCAGTGGAACCTCTGCTGAGAATCCAGCCCCAGCCAACATCTGGATTGAAGCCTTGTGAGAGCCTGAAGAAGATACAGCTGAGTTGTGTTCAGGCTCCTGAGCCACAGAAGCTGTGTGATAATATATGTGTTGCCATAAGTCACTAAGTTTGTGGTATTAATAATATGGTTACACACCAATAAATAACTAATATACCTCATATGCCAACTCTGAGCATTTACTTAGATGTCCTGGATTACTCAGATTAAGAAAGATTCTGCAGCCACATTTGAACTTTAAGAATAAGTGCCATAAGTAGTGATGTTTGCAGTGAGTCTGGTTATGAGAAGCAGTTGGTTATGAGAAGCAGTACACCTGACATTAATAATTCATCCTACCCTAATATACACTTTGAGACCAGAAAGAACAAGTGAAATTTGTTTCCACACATCAATTCATGTACTCAAGATCAATGCTGTAGGAAAAAAGTTGTAAAGTGCCTGAGGAGGAAAGGTACCTGGGTGACACAGGCTATGTGTAAGTGTTTATCCATATATTGTATGAGGGGTTGTGACTGGAGTAAACTGTTCCAGTCTGAAGGGTACAAATCTTAGTCTAAAGTACTCAGATGTTCCCAGGCTAAAGAAAATAGTGTCTATGTAAGATACACATCCAGTGTTCCCAGGTATAATAATTTTTCAATAGAAGCTGAATATTTCAATTTTATGTGAAATTTTTCACATTTTAAACATTGGCTCATTTGTAAAGGTACAACTACTGTATTTTTTTTTTTTTTTTGAGATAGAGTCTTGCTCTGTTGCCCAGGCTGGAGTGCACTGGTGCCATCTCGGCTCACTACAATTTCTGCCTCCCCAGTTCAAGTGATTCTCATGCCTCAGCCTCCCAAGTAGCTGAGACTACAAGCATGCGCCACCAGGCCTGGCTAATGTTTTTTTTTTTTTCGTATTTTTAGTATAGACGGGGTTTCGCCATGATAGCCAAGCTGGTCACAAACTTCTGGGCTCAAGCAATCTGCCCACCTCAGCCTCCCAAAGTGCTGGGATTACAGACATGAGCCACCGCACCTGGCCTATATTGATTTTTTTTTTTTTTTACTATGTTAGTTGTACTGCTGTGAAGCCACAAGCTTTCAGATATGCCTTTCTCTGCAGAGTTCAGTTTGTCCCATTATGTAATATTGAAGTTATCAATGTCAATTTACTTCTAACTATCTGAAAGGCAATTATGATATAATCACCCATCAATTTAATTTTTCTCCAAGCTTACATAATTAGATGATAGAATGACTATCTAAGGATGAAATGCATGGAATACATAACATTGAGTTAATGACCTTGAAGGCAACACTCTGCCCTCAGTCTTGTGCACACACTTGCAAATCAATGGGAGTTGTTTGTGAGTGTACACAGTTGGTCCAAAGAGTTGCTGAAACAGAAATCATGATATGTACATGGTAGTATATAATCCGTATCAAAGTCCTGCTTTTTCATCAATGGTCGTCAAAATCATTGAGTTTAATGACGTTGTCTGAACAACTCTAAGTAATTGCATCTTCAATCTACCGACAATATTGGTGGATCACAAACTCTGGTATAAACTGTAAGGACCCATAAGCAAAGAACGCATGTTCTTGCACCCAGAAAACTTATAATATAGTGCAGACAATGAATATAAGACATATATCCACTAATATGTTACTGATTTCTCATGCAGGTTAACTCCAAAATAATTTTAGCTGAAAACAACTTCATTCTTTCTCTCATTGTTCCTACGCATTGGTACTGTAGGCTAGTTACTTTTGTCCTCACCATTGAAATATGTGAGCAGTCCCAAATCTTTTCTGGTGTTGAGCTAATAAATAAATTGCACCTTTTCATTGTCATATACACTGGAAATGTATAAATGCCTAATACTGGTAGATCTACTTTTGACCCATCTCCTTTACAAGTTCTTAATGGATGTTATATCACATCACTGTTGAATATGGAAGGACTTGGTACTTACCGTTTTATTGACCTTGTGTCTGCTAAAACCACAGAAAAGGTTGGATTTGGCATCCTATTACTAGTGCAACTGAGGCAAATATAAAGACATACAAAGCTTTGAGGTGAAAATGTATTTTAACTTAGAAGAGGGACTCTATCTCAAATCAACTAGAAAAATAATGAAAGTACACTCTAGAGAGCACTTAGAGTGTACCTTGCATCTATTAATTTTCACAATAATCCTATGAAAATTTAAAACAGAATTTAAAATACCTGAGTAGGATTGGCTATGTTCAAATCCTTGTGTATCACAACTACTGTCTTATCTTAGGAGAGTGTTCATACAGTTTCCTCATCTGTAAAATAGATCCCAACAGTAACAGCACTTGAGTGATTAATCTATGCCAGACACTATCCTGTATTTATGGGAATTGTTTTGTATAAGCTTTTAAGGAAAATACTGCCATTTTTGTTGGTAAGAAAACTTTGCTAAGGAGGAAAATGAAGAGTAAGGTGGATAAGTAAACAGTTGCCAAGATCTCACAGATATTTGAACCTCAGAAGTTTGTTTCTAAAGCCTAAGATGTTAAATATTTTAACATGTTTCTGACCTACTCTGGTTGTGATTAAAATGTAATAATTGTTATAAAGTGACAAGAACATGAAAGGTTCTCCATTAATAGTTGTATTTATAGAAAAATATGGAAAGGATGAAGAATTATTGTAAAGGAGAGGTGACTTCTGATTTATTTCCCATATTATCTTAATCCAAATTGTTTTCTCATTCTAGTACACTGTTGTCTCATCATTAAGATCTCTGTTTTGAGCATTGTATCTTTAGGGACCCCCATGAGTTGGATATTAATAGCCTAAGAAAAAAGCTATTCTTCCAGTTCCATCCACTGTCCCTCTTGGAATTAGAGAATAGCTCTCGGGATTAGAAGAGCCAATACCATGTGGTTGTTCTTAACAGCCATGCTATTTACACTCGATTTCTTTTGGTTTTAATGAGAGGAAACTCCTTTCCAATTTGAACAGCAATTCTCCATGGATCCTGCCTGCAGAGCATGACAGCTACACCTCACTCCAATTACAAATGGAAAGCTAGTTGTCAGTGAAATTTCAGAGAGCTCGCAAGGTTATATTGACATTGAAATTTAAGTTGCTCCTTGGTCTTCCCCCAGACACATGGTCCTTTGGGGAATGCAGAGGTTATGGGTGAGAGGTTATTCTTTTCTGTGTTGTGTCTTATCTGTGATACCAGCACCAATACATGCTGGTCAGACCATAGCCAATGCCTGTGTTCTTTCTTGATAAATTGTAAAATCCTACTTTTCTAAACAAAAAGCTGGTATTTCTCATACAAGCAACATAGCTTGACTAGAAAAGAAAAGTAGAAGGAAAAGTGTAAACATATTATCGTGTGACATGTTCTACAGGTAACAAGAGATTTCTTATGTATACGCTATATGACAAATAAGTTAAAAGTAGAAATTTAAAATGGCAAGATGATTCAAGACGTTCAAACATTGTAACATTACTTGGAATTATGATTGCAAAAAGAGGTATGAAGATATTACCAACGTAAATTCAAAACGTAAAACAATTTTATGGCTGTAGACATTTTAATTGAGGCGATTTAAATACTGGCTGCCTTAAAAATTGGAACAATAGGGATACAATTCCAAAGTATGGTCTCTTTAAGTTACACACATACATCCACACACACTCATGTTTAATGTACAGAAGCTGAGGCAGCTGTGGTGTTGTGGGATAAATCACTGAACTCAGAATTAAAAGACCTTAGTTTGAGAATTATATTTATCCCTTATTATTAGCACTTAGACAAATCATAGAACTATATGTTCCTTGTTTTACAACAAATAGAGACTATAATGTCTACTTTGTTCTCCTTAGAAGTATTTGAGAGGCACTTGGTTAATTGCAATGGCAGTTTCTATATCTTTGCCTCAGAAAATGAGATTATGTCCTTCTGCCCTAAAAGACAGAAGAGGTCAGATATTCATTATAAATTAGGATATTTACTTTTATGAAAAATGTTGAAAAGATAACATTGTATCACATGGGCTTTAAAATGTTATGTAGTCAGAGCAGGTATCCATTAAAATTTCAATAATGGCTGACACTTATGTAGCCCTCATTACCTCACAGTGTTCTCAGATTATTTAATCGGCACCAAAATCCTAGAATGTAGCTTAGCATTATTATTTTCCTTTTTCAGGTTAAGGAAATCAAGTCATGAAAAGATAAAATACTTTGCCCAATATCTTACATAAGACCAGTCATTATATCTTCTTTAGAGTCTCAACTTTTTTTTTTTTTTGCAAACTGTGTATAATAACAGTCCTACATTTTAAGGACTATTTAGTGGCACCTAAATTGTGTGGCACATGTTAAAATTTAATCAGTATTAATTCTTATGCTTATAAAATTAACCTGAGGCTAGATGAGAGGATCTACCAAGGTTTTGAGTTTGGCTGCAACAAACTCATATCTATAATAACAATGGCTTTTAGAAAGATTTTTTTCTCTCATAATAAGGAAACTAGAGACAACCAGTTCAGAATTTATATAAAGTGAGCAACCCAGGATTTTATTATCCTTTCAAAGGGGTCCCTGTCATCTTATGGTCACAAGATGCCTGCTAGGATTCCAGCAATCTAGTTCACATTCCAGGCTGGAGGAAGGGAAAGGGCAAAACTCTAGAGTATCACAGTTTAGATGACCCACTTTTAAGATTTCCCAGAAGTTCAGACCACTGACTATACTTCATTAGTCAAAATTTTGCTGCATGGCCAACATGTATGGTACTATGAATAAAGAGATGTAGAATGATTATTGGAGAAGCATTGAGCAGTTTTTGCCACTGAAGTTTGAAGAAACCAGTTTCAAAGAAAATTGCTAGTCGATACTTTTCTTTAATGTCAGTGGTGTGAATGTTACTCCGAATTTACAAGTTTCCTTAAAAATCAAAAGCAAAATTTATCAAGGACTTAGTTATGCATCTTTATAAGATGAAAACAATATCATTTAAAGTGCACCAATTATAATAAAATTACTAGACATGTTTTCAAAGATCATATATTAAATGAAAAGTCCTGGTCACTTCCAAGATGGCCAAATAGGTACAGCTCCAGTCTGCAGCTTCCAGCGAGATTGACACAGAAGACAGGTGATTTCTGCATTTCCAACTGAGCCTCCACTGGTGATACCCAGGCAAACAGGGTCTGGAGTGAACCTCCAGCAAACTCCAACAGACCTGCAGCTGAGGGATCTGTTAGAGGGAAAACTAACAAACAGAAAGGAATAGCATCAACATCAACAAAAAGGACATCCACACCAAAACCCCATCTGTAGGTCACCAACATCAAAGACCAAAAGTAGATAAAACCACAAAGATGGGGAGAAACCAGAGCAGAAAAGCTGAAAATTCCAAAAACCAGAGCACCTTTTCTCCTCCAAAGGATTGCAGCTCCTCACCAGCAACAGAAAAAAACTGGATGGAGAATGACTTTGACGAGTTGACAGAAGTAGGCTTCAGAGGGTCGGTAATAACAAACTTCTCCAAGCTAAAGGAGCGTGCTCTAACCCATCACGAGGAAGCTAAAAACCTTGAAAAATGGTTAGACGAGTGGCTAACTAGAATAAACAGTGTAGAGAAGACCTTAAATGACCTGATGGAGCTGAAAACCACAGCACGAGAACTTCATGACGCATGCACAAGTTTCAATAGCCAATTTGATTGACTGGAAGAAAGGGTATCAGTGATTGAAGATAAAATTAATGAAATAAAGCAAGAAGACAAGATTAGAGAAAAAAGAATAAAAAGAAATGAACAAAGCCTCCAAGAAATATGGGACTATGTGAAAAGAACAAATCTACATTTGATTGGTGTACCTGAAAGTGATGGGAAGAATGGAACCAAGTTAGAAAACACTCTTCAGGATATTATCCAGGAGAACTTCCCCAACGTAGCAAGGCAGGCCAACATTCAAATTCAGGAAACACAGAGAACGCCACAAAGATACTCCTTGAGAAGAGCAACTCCAAGACATGTAATTGTCAGATTCACCAAGGCTGGAATGAAGAAAAAAAATGTTAAGGGCAGTCAGAGAGAAAGGTTGGGTTACACACAAAGGGAAGCCTACCAGACTAACAGCAGATCTCTCGGCAGAAACCCTACAAGTCAGAAGAGAGTGGAGGCCAATATTCAACATTCCTGAAGAAAAGAATTTTCAACCCAGAATTTCATACCCAGCCAAACTAAGCATCATAAGTGAAGGAGAAATACAATCCTTTACAAACAAGCAAATGCTGAGAAATTTTGTCACCACCAGGCCTGCCTTACAAGAGCTCCTGAAGGAAGCACTAAACATGGAAAGGAACAACCAGTACCAGCTACTGCAAAAACATGCCAAATGGGAAAGACCATTGATGCTATGAAGAAACTGCATCAATTAACAGGAAAAATAACCAGCTAACATCATAATGACAGGATCAAATTCACATATAACAATATTAACCTTAAATATAATGGGCTAAATGCCCCAAGTAAAAGACACAGGCTGGGAAATTTGATAGAGTCAAGACCCATCAGTGTGCTGTATTCAGGAGACCCATCTCATGTGCAGAGACACATATAGCCTTAAAATAAAGAGATGGAGGAAGATCTACCAAGCAAATGGAAAGAAAAAAAAGCAGGGGTTGCAATCCTAGTCTCTGATAAAACAGATTTTAAACCAACAAATATTAAAAGAGATAAAGAAGGCCATTACATAATGGTAAAGGGATCAATTCAACAAGAAGAGCTAACTATCCTAAAGATATATACACCCAATACAGGAGCACCCAGATTCATAAAGCCAGACCTTAGAGACCTACAGAGAGTTAGACTTCTACACAATAAAAATGGGAGACTTTAACACCCCACTGTCAACATTAGACAGATCAATGAGACAGAAGGTTAACAAGGATATCCAGGACTTGAACTCAGCTCTGCACCAAGCTGACCTAATAGACATCTACAGAACTCTCCACCCCAAATCAATGGAATATACATTCTTCTCAGCACCACATCACACTTATTCTAAAATTGACCACATAATTGAAAGTAAAGCACTCCTCAGCAAACGTAAAAAAAAAAAAAAGAAACCACAACAAACTGTCTCTCAGACCACAGTGCAATCAAATTAGAACTCAGGATTAAGAAACTCACTCAAAACTGCATAACTACATGGAAACTGAACAACCTGCTTCTGAATGACTACTCAGCACATAATGAAACGAAGGCAGAAATAAAGATATTCTTTGAAACCAATAAGAACAAAGACACAACATACCAGAATCTCTGGGACACATTTAAAGCAGTGTGTAGAGGGAAATTTATAGCACTAAGTGCCCACAAGAGAAAGCAGAAAAGAACTAAAATTGACACCCTAACATCACAATTAAAATAATTAGAGAAGGAAGAGCAAACAAATTCAAAAGCTAGCAGAAGGCAAGAAATAACTAAGATCAGAGCAGAACTGAAGGAGATAGAGACACAAAAACCTTTCAAAAAATCAAGGAATCCAGAAGCTGGTTTTTTGAATAGATCAACAAAATAGATGGACCACTAGCAAGACTAATAAAGAAGAAAAGAGAGAAGAATCAAATAGATGCAATAAAAAATAATAAATGGGATATCACCGCTGATTCCACAGAAATACAAACCACCATCAGAGAATACTATAAACACCTCTACACATATAAACTAGAAAATCTAGAAGAAATGGATAAATTCTTGGACACATACACCCTCCCAAGACCAAACCAGGAAGAAGTTGAATCTTTGAATAGACAAATAACAGGTTCTGAAATTGAGGCAATAATTAATAGTCTTCCAACCAAAAAAAGTCCAGGACCAAATGGATTCACAGCTGAATTCTACCAGAGGTACAAAGACGAGCTGGTACCATTCCTTCTGAAACTATTCCAATCAATAGAAAAAGAGGGATTCCTCCCTAACTCATTTTATGAGGCCAGCATCATCCTGATACCAAAGCCTGGCAGAGACACAACAACAACAAAAAAAGAATTTTAGACCAGTATCCCTGATGAACATCAATGCAAAAATCCTCAATATAAAACTGACAAACTGAATCCAGCAGCACATCAAAAAGCTTATCTACCATGATCAAGTCAGTTTCATCCCTGGAATGCAAGGCTGGTTCAACATACACAAATCAATAACTGTAATCCATAACATAAACAGAACCAATGACAAAAACCACATGATTATCTCAATAGACGCAGAAAAGGCCTTTCACAAACTCAACAGCCCCTAATTGTAAAAACTCTCAAGAAACTAGGAATTGATGGAATGTATCTCAAAATAATAAGAGCTATTTATGACAAACACACAGTCAAGATCATACTGAATGGGCAAAAACTGGAAGCATTCCCTTTGAAAACTGGCACATGACAAGGATGTCTTCTCTTACCATTCCTATTCAACATAGTGTTTGAAGTTCTGGCCAGGGCAATCAGGCAAGAGAAAGAAATAAAGCATATTCAGTTAGGAAAAGAGGAAGCCAAATTGTCCCCATTTGCAGATAACTTGATTGTATGTTTACAAAACCCCATAGTCTCAGCCCAAAATCTTCTTAAGCTGATAAGCAACTTCACCAAAGTCTCAGGATACAAAATCAATGTGCAAAAATCACAAGCATTCCTATACACCAATAACAGACAAACAGAGAGCCAAATCATGAGTGAACTCCCATTCACAAATGCTACAAAGAGAATAAAATACCTAGGAATCCAACTTAAAAGGGATATGAAGGACCTCTTCAAGGAGAACTACAAACCACTGCTCAACGAAATAAAAGAGGACAGAAACAAATGGAAGAATGTTCCATGCTCATGGATAGGAATAATCAATATTGTGAAAATGGCCATACTGCCCAAAGTAATTTATAGATTCAATGTTATTCCCATCAAGCTACCAAAGACTTTCTTCACAGAATTGGAAAAAACTACTTTAAAGTTCATATGGAACCAAAAAAGAGCCTGCATTGTCAAGACAATCCTAAGCAAAAAGAACAAAGCTGGAGGCATCACACTACATGACTTCAAACTATACTACAAGGCTATAGTAACCAAAACAGCATGGCACTTGTACCAAAACGGATATATATATATATATATATATATATATATATATATATATACCAATGGAACAGAAAAGAGGCCTCAGAAATAACACCACACATCTACAACCATCTGATCTTTGACAAACCTGACAAAAACAAGAAATGGGGAAATGATTCCTTATTTAATAAATGGTGCTGGGAAAACTGGCTAGGCATATGTAGAAAGCCGAAACTGGATCCCTTCCTTACACCTTATACAAAAATTAACTTAGGAAGGATTAAAGACTTAAATGTTAGACCTAAAACCAGAAAAACCCTGAAAGAAAACCTAGGCAATACCTTTCAGGACATAGGCATGGGCAAAGACTTCATGACTAAAACACCAAAAGCAATGGCAACAAAAGCCAAAATAGACAAATGGGATCTATTTAAACTAAACAACTTCTGCACAGCAATAGAAACTATCGAACAGGCAACCTACAGAATGGGAGAAAATTTTTACAGTCTATTCATCTGACAAAGGGCTAATATCCAGAAAATACAAAGAATTTAAACAAATTTACAAGAAAAAAAACAACCCCATCAAAAAGTGGGCAAAGGATATGAACAGACACTTCTCAAAAAAAGACATTTATGCAGCCAACAGACACATGAAAAATTGCTCATCATCACTGGTCATCAGAGAAATGCAAATCAAAACCACAATGAGATACCATCTCATACCAGTTAAAATGGCAATCATTAAAAAGTCAGGAAACAACAGATGCTGGAGAGGATGTGGAGAAATACGAATGCTTTTATACTGTTGGAGGGAGTGTAAATTAGCTCAACCATTGTGGAAGACAGTGTGGCAATTCCTCAAGGATCTAGAACTAGAAATACCATTTGACCCAGAGATCCCATTACTGGGTATATACCCAAAGGATTATAAATCATGCTACTATAAAGACACATGCACACATATGTTTATTGCAGCACTATTCACAATAGCAAAGACTTGGAACCAACCCAAATGTCCATCAATGATAGACTAGATTAAGAAAATGTGGCACATATACACCATGGAATACTATGCAGCCATAAGAAAGGATGAGTTCGGCTGGGCATGGTGGCTCACGCCTGTAATCCCAGCACTATGGGAGGCTGAGGTGGGAGGATCACGAGGTCAGGAGACCAAGACCATCCTGGCTAACATGGTGAAACCCCGTCTCTACTAAAAATACAAAAAGTAGTCAGGCGTGGTCGTGGGCACCTGTAGTCCCAGCTACTCGGGAGGCTGAGGCAGGAGAATGGCATGAACCTGGGAGGTGGAGCTTGCAGTGAGCCCAGATCATGCCACTGCACTCTAGCCTGGGCAACAGAGCGAGACTCTGTCTCAAAAAAAAGGATGAGTTCACGTCCTTTGCATGGACATGGATGAAGCTGGAAACCATCATTCTGAGCAAACTATCAGAAGGACAGAAAACCAAACACGGCATGTTCTCACTCATAGGTGGGAATTGAACAATGAGAACACATGGACACAGGGCAGGGAACATCATACGCTGGGGCCTGTCAGAGGGTGGAGGGATGGGGGTTTGGGGGAGGGATAGCATTGGGAGAAATGCCTAGTGCAAATGACAAGTTGATAGGTCCAGCAAACCAACATGACACATGTATACCTATGTAACAAACCTGCATGTTCTGCACATGCACCCTATAACTTAAAGCATAATAATAGCAAAAAAAAGACAAGTCCAGATTTTTCAAGTACACAACTTTTTGACATGGTTTCAAAGGTAAGCAGCCTAGTGTACCAAGTGTGAAGACAGATATGTAAACAGATTAACATGAGATTGAAAGCCATTAGAATAGGAGTCAGTGTATTTTGCATCTGTCTAGCCTTTGAGTTTAGAAAAGATTTTATGACTGCTTCAGGTTCCTAGGGGTGTTGTAACAAAGTGCTACATAAAACTGTGTGGATTAAATCAATAGAAATTTATTCTCTCATGCTTCTGGAGGCTAGAAATATGAAATCAAGGTATCTTAAGAGAAATGCAGGTTCTGGGTGGCCAGATCTCAATATTTTTCTAAAAGTATCCTGAAATATTGTTGTTTTTAAAATATACATGTATAATTTTGAATTCTAGAACTGTGGCAGGTAATTAGAAATTCCTTCTTTTTTAATAATTATTGGGCAGATTAATCCTGTATAGCCCAAGTAAAGATCATGTGGGCTCGATTCAACTTATAATTTTTAAATATACATTTACATGTACACACAAACATATACTTCTGGAAAAAACATCACAACTCTAAATTATAAACCCAGGCACATGCATGCCAAGGAGACAATGACATTCTGTCTTTAAGGAATCCTGCAGCATTTATATTTTTCTGAGTACTGCATAACAAGGCCATTTCTTGCTGAAGGAATATTTTTATTATCTACCTTGCATGTTGACTTGCTTATAAGTGCCTTGTTGTTAGATGTTTGCTTAAGATTTTTCTTTTATGACTGTAGCTTGACACTAAAGTGTGTTACATGGATCAGCCTGGATGTTGTTAAAGTCACTCTGAGGGGCTTTTTTCAGACTTTCTATATTTCGTTGATAAAACATTGCTATTGCTAAAGCCTCTGGGATTGAGTATAAGACCAAAGTCTTAAACAACTGTTTCGTTCATATTCAACCAAGCTCTGTATTCCGTGCAGGGTCTCATTAATGAAATATGTTTGTTTGAACATTAGTAAACATGAATTTTTGTGGTACAAATTGTCATTAAGTTCTTGGAATAAAATTCTCTAGATTTCTTGGCAAAATATTTGGTCCTGTTTTCATTTCCTTGAGGGAAAAACACATGAAACTTTATAAACTATGGTACCCTCCTTATACTAGTGCCAGGTGTTAAAAAGATAAAACATTCAACTCTGTAATTCACCAACAATTTTTTTTGAATGATTAATCTGTGCTCAGTTTTGTGCTACAATCTGTGACATCATTCATGTTGTCAACTCTGAAGCCTTGAACCCTTAAGAAAGAAAAGGTTGAAAAATTTCCTTAAGTGGATAATATATACCAAAAGGGTCTCTTCCTAACTCCTATCACAAACATCATGATGAACACACTAATACTAATACTATAACTCAAGATATCCATAATTATAAATCCTGGAGTTTCTACCCATACACCAATGAATAGCAATAGTCTCCATTAACCATACTGGCCTAAAGGTGTGTGTGTCAATTCAAACTCCATTGTGTCTAAATATATATATTCAAGTAGATACCATAAAAGCATTTTAAAGAAGAAACAAGTATAATAGGAGTTTATTGTAACACGTTTAAGGAATGAAATAATTGTCCAGATTTCAGAAGCAATGTTGGGATTGGGATACTAGTAGAAGATATTATGGTAAGGAAGCTAGGAAACCTCAGATTCTTGCCTAAGGTTGTCTTGCTTCTCTGCCTCACAACGTCCTCAAAGAACATAAAACACAAGAAATTACAGCAAATAAATGTCAATTCATAAGTTGTCTTTAAGCTTGACAAATCAATGAAAATCTGCAGTGAGCCAGATTAGACCAAATTAATGAGTACAGGAGCTAAGTGCAATTTAGAATCTAGGCACACATCACATGCCAGATCCAGCAGGAAAAGAGACAGAAACAGAAATCCACTGCCATGTGCTGAAACTTTGCAGCCCAGTGATCTCACTCTCTTACAAACGCAGCCCAGCAAATGTTCTGGAATCTCTCCAATCAAAATCATTGTTCTTCCTCTAGAGGACAAGAGAAGATGGGAGCATATAAAGGAGGTCTTGAAGGCACACCTTTCTTTAGATATGAATGCCACTTCATGGACTCTAAAATATAAGGCAAATGTACTACATATATATTTACATATGCATACATATAAATATATATGTAAATATATTTATTTTATAATTATATATCAATGGCCACACATTTTGTGAGACAGTCCTAATATTATGTAAGCATATTTTTTAACAAGAATGAACCATAAAATGTGTAATTTACTGTGATTTTATATTTATAGCCTTTTTAAAAAAATCAAATGTATAAATTGGAAAATTATGTCTCTTATTAGAACACATGAACAGATTTAATAAAATGTGTTCCCCAGGTATATAAATAATAATTTCAACACTATGCTGACATTGTAGGAACAGGAGTATATACAAAAAGCAACAGCCCAGATGAAGGAGGGATTAATTCTATGGGAGACACAAAGAAGCAAATCCCAGAAAGTTCACTCAAAAGACACTAACTATTTGGAAGGATAAATTGTAATTCAGAAGATAGATGGTGAGAGAAAGGCATTCCCGTTAGAGGAAACAAAATGCTCAAAGGCTTAAAAAGGTAAAAGAGTAGGCTATGTTTGTATGAGAGCAAATAGTTGATATCTGTACATTATGTCTCGATAAATGTGGAGAAAGTGATTTATATAGTCCTGTAAGAGAATAAGCATAAAGCTCTCTAGCACCTTCTCAAAAGCCTATTTATTATAGAATCTCTGTTCTGTACTTTGATTTACTTCTCCTAATATTCCAAAATCATTTTTTCAAGTGAAAATCTAATGTTACTGTCTTGATTAGTAACCTGCATTGTCTACGGAGAATATTCTTACAGGAAACTAGTGATGGCTAATAACCATCAGGAGGGTGTCCTGTGGGTGACCAGCACCTGCAGCTTGCCATACTGAAAAGGAAGCATGTTAGGAAATTAATTACTGGAGAGTAGGGAGTGGCCAAGAGACCTTGATGCATGAAATAGACAGAGCCAAGTTTAGATTCTTTGGTACAGTGGGAATCGCTCATCATTCATGCAGTTTATTTCATCAGAATTTGTCTAGCACAGCTTGGTCATGCAAACATTGAACACTGGGAGAACCAAACAAGCAAAATAGATTAAGACAGCTATGTTCATTACAATTCAGAATAAGTGTAAAGTCATCCCAGAACATTTTACAATATGTACCTTCTCCAGGCACAAGATTAAAACAAACACTTGCTTAGTCTCAACATTAAACTTAAGTCAGAGGATTTTTTGGATTGACTTTAGCAGACTTTATAGTAGTAACCAGATTGTTATTCTAAAACCTTCCAATACTCATCCAGTGCCACAGAATTTTACAGTTGATTTTGTTGCTGTTGCACTGGGACATAATCTTTTTTTTTTGGCTTTTATTATTTTTCAATTGAATTTTTACTTGAATGTTCCCAAAGTCAGAAAGCAAATTGGATTATACAGTAAAAATTATCATGTCCATCCATATCTCCTCCTCATATGCTTTTATTTCTTGTGTATAGTTCCAGATACATTTTATGGAAATACGAACAGCTAAAACTATACAATCTTTTCCTCTTTTTATACAAATAGTGGTATATAAAACACACTATATAACACTTTTATGTTTAACCAGTTTTAAGTGATTTAGAATGTCTCAAAATGTTTGCCTTTACAAATAATGTTGCAATAAATAACTTTGTTACATGTAATTTTGAGCTTATGCAAGTATAGCTCTAGAATAAAATTAGGAAGTCTAATTGTAGAATTAAAATACATGAACAATTATAAATCCAGTAAATATTGCCAGAGTACCCCCTTTTTATTTATTTCAAAAATTTACACTCTCACTAGCAGCGAATGAGAGTGTCTTCAATACTTTGGGTCTCCAAATCCCACAGATAAAATTGGTGAGGTTTTCATTCTCTTCCTGAATGTGTTTCTCAACTTGAAGATAAATGAAAACTCTTCCATGTCCCCAATAAAAACAAAAACATACAACTTCAATAACAAAAGGAAGAATGATTCTTCCTTTTGTTAGGAAAAAAGATATAAAAGAAAGACATAAATAAAGTGGATTCCAGCAGAATTTTATTTCAGTTACAAATCCAGAAGATAATATTTGTTAAGTGTTTTGTTTTGTGAAAATTCTGCTGATGACTAATGTTACCAAAGGTGAAAGTGAGGATGACAAAAATCGATTAATATAGCCAGAAATTCCTTATGTTATGTTTTTTGCATGCCACAACCACAAATGGTTTTCTTTGAGTCACATTTGGTTTCATCTATTTATCCAAAATGTTGAAATATCCACATATTAAAGAGCTACAAAATGAATGTATGTGGCAAGACTTCTTGCATCTAGCAATGGTAAAACAAAAGACTCTTTCTGATTTTGAGAATCCACTTATTATGATCCAAGTAACAATTAGGCAGGAAAAAATTCACAGTGAAATAATTAAGAACAATTATCACATTATTGAGTTTCTAGAGGTATTTCAGTTTCAGCTAATTGATTCCAAACCAGCTGTGAATAAAACGGATGTGCTTGTAACCAACTAAACATTTCCAGTGCTTCCAAGAAGCTAACTCTAGTAGTCTAAAATATCACTTTAGGAATGTACAAAAATAAGAAGAAAGGTAAATTATGAGAGGTTGTTTTGTTGTTGTTGTTGTTTGGTGTTTTTGTTGTTGTTGTAGATGAAGAGGGTAATTCTGACCAGTAATATGCACAATTATCACCTAAGGGCTTGGTTAAAATGGAAATTCTGATTCAGTAATTCTGCAGTGAGGCCTGAAATTCTGCCTTTTAAGGAAACTGCAGGGTGATGTCAATGCTACTGGCTCATGAACCACATACAGGTATAGAGACGAGAAATATGAACCAAGTTGGTAACACTTTAATCCCTATATCAGACATTGAGTGTATTATGGTGTTATAACCTCTTGCTGCATGCATGAAGTTCATGGATAATAAGTTCAACTATAATCTATGCTATTTTCATAAGAAGAACAGAAAAATAAAACAACTTTAACACCTCTCCCTATTATTAGAAAAGCATCAGAGAGAAAATTCACAGCATCTTCCTGTGAAAAGAATAATACTTGTTAGTGATTATATTAGTTTGGTGAGGCTGCCATAAGAAAGTATTATGTTGGTGCAAAAGGAATTGTGTTTTTTGCCATTACTTTTAATAGACTGGGTTGTTAAACAACAGAAGTTTTCCTATAGTTCTGGGCTAGAAGTTCAAAATCAAGTTCTCAGCAGCTTTAATTTTTTCTGAGGCCTTTGAAAAAATAATTTTCTAGGCCTCTCTTTATGGTTTATAGATGCTGTTTTCTTTTGTTGTCTCTTCACATCATCTTTTTTCTATGTATATGTCTGTGTCCAAATTTCACCTTTTTATAAGGACATCAGTCATGTTGATTACTTCTGTAAAGGCCCTATCTCCAAATATGGTCACATTTTCAAGTATTGGGGTTTAGGACTTTAACTTATGAATTTTATTTATTTTATTTTATTTTATTTTTTGAGATGGAGTATTGCTCTGTCGCCCAGGCTGGAGTGCAGTGGCACAATCTCGGCTCACTGCAAGCTCTGCCTTCCGGGTTCACGCCATTCTCCTGCCTCAGCCTCCCGAGTTGCTGGGACTACAGGCGACCACCACCATGCCCAGATAATTGTTGTATTTTTAGTAGAGATGGGGTTTCACCATGTTGGGCAGGCTGGTCTTGAACTCCTGACCTCAGGTGATCCACCCACCTCGGCCTCCCAAAGTGCTGGGATTACAGGCGTGAGCCAATGTGCCCAGCCTAACTTTTGAAATTTGAGGTGAACACAGTTTTGCCTGTAACAGAATTTCCCCCAATTCTGTTTCATTCTGCCCAAATCTCTTACCTGTAAAATGGGAAAAGTATGCTATGGAAACAATGAAATAATTACATTCAGCAGGCATAAACGGCAGAAGAAGGCATCACTCACTCTTCCAGCTGATAAATTACAAGGGTATATATTAATTATATAGAGTAAATGTTGAAATTATCTTCCATTTAGTGGCTAGAAAGATAGTCAGGGACAAATTAAGTACATGAAACTACAAACATCTAGACCTACTTTTGCATCAAACTTCTATTACTCACTAGGTCTGTGACTTTTCACTCATTGTATGAATTCCTTAAGACATGTTCTTATCTGTGAAATGGGATTAAGTAGTTTCTGATAGGTATTTATTATCTTGTGTGATAGATTGTATTATTGTGCTCAATTGTATTAGGGTCTAGTCAGGACAAAAAACACATCAGTAATTTGAACATGAAAATTTTGGTATATCTAACCATAAACTGACATAAGGTGGTTAAATTGAAAAAAAAAAAAAAAACGATAAAAGAGGACTGTAAAGGGCACACACATAGCAAATGCAGGGAGCAGCTGCCACCAAAATGAGAGAGAACAAGGAAGTGACAAACTGCTTAGAAGACTGTCCCCTCAAGGGTGAGATTCAAATGCTTTGGAGAAGGTGTATCTACCTTACCACAGGAGTATGCATCCTGTTGGTCTGATTTGAAGCTTGTATGCAGAGAAACTTGCTGGGGGGTAAGACTGCAGCTAGCCAGTGGACCTCTGATGTGACTGCTACCATGCCTCCTATAGAATGAGCTTCTGACTGCTACCTTGTGGGGTGTGGGGAGCGGGGAGGGATAGCATTAGGAGATATACCTAATGTAAACGATGAGTTAATGGGTGCAGCACACCAACATGGCACATGTATGCATATGTAACAAACCTGCACATTGTGCACATGTACCCTATAACTTAAAGTATAATAAATAAATACATAAATAAATAAAATTTAAAACAGAAACATAAATAAAATAAAATTTAAAAATAAAAATAAAAAAACCCTCACTGGAACCATGATATGCTTGCCAGATAAAGCACAAGACATTCAGCTACACATGAATTAACCAATGAATAATTTTTAGTATGTCTCATACAATATTTGGGGTATATAGTATAACAAAATTATTAATTATTTATCCAAAGTTCAAATTTAACTGGGAATCCTTTATTTTGTTTGCTAAATCCTGCAACTTTAATCAGGAAGGAAAACCTTTGCTCCTGCTCTGGCTTTGCAGTGTCCCTCCAGCACCCTCTATTGACTAAAATTGAGCTGACTAAAGAGAAATGTTTACATGGTCCAGCTCCAGTATCACACGCCAAGGCAATAAAAAGAAGATTTGGGGCTGGGTCAATACATCAATGATTCCCCTCCTCCAACCTTTCCTGTTAGAAAAGTATAACTCACTTCCTCCTTAACAGGTGATTTGCTGTATCCACTCCACCACAGAATAATGAACATTCTCACTCCATTGATTTTGAGTTTGGCCATCTGATATGCATTGATTAATGGTATATGAGCAGATGTAATGTGTGCATCATTAAAGCAAAAGCTTTAAGAAGACTTGTGAATTTCCACAAGTTATTATTGTTTCCTTCTGTCAGGAAAATAGTATATCCCAAATAATAGCTATTTCTTCAGTTTAGATTCCAAAATGAGAAAACTCTTGGGGAAGAGATTTCACAGCTCACTCACAACTGCTAGCAAGTTATGCAAAAGAAAAGAAACGTTTGCTCTGGTAAGCAACTGAGATTTTTCCTGTTTTAAAAACTGCAACAAACTAATACACTTAACATATATAAAGCACTGGTTATAGTTCTTAGCATATCACTTAACTTTGAATTAGATAAACAACATGGCATATAAAAAGTAACATGCATTTTGAAAGAAGAAAGATTTGCATTCTAAATAAAGCTTTATTATATATTAATGTTAATGTAATAATACATCATAAAGAGAGCAGATAACGCAGAAAAAAAGAGAGAGAGCAGATAACCATGGAAGGATAGCAGGCTAGATAATAACACAATCAGATTATTGTAGAAAAATTACTCAAGTTCAGCAAACTTTTTCTCTGAATAGTCAAATAGTAAATATTTTAGGCTTTGTAGGACATATGGTGTCTGTTGCAATGACTAAACTTTGTCTCAGCAGTGCTAAAAGAACCACAGACAATATGGAATGAATAAGGGTGGCTGTGTTCCAATAATTATTTTTTTTCAAAAACAGGAGATGGGCTAACCACAGGTCATAGTTTGCCAGCTACTTTTCTGAAAAAACTATTCCACTCTTACCCCTTGACGTGTAGTTCCCTACTGAAATCCAGAGTAATCTATTTAAAATATAAAACAAATCAAATTTTATTCTGCTTAATAACCTCCTGGGTCTTTCCAACATACTTAGAACAAAATCAAGACCTTGTATCATGACCCCTAAGACCGAATAAATTCTGAGACCTGTTTAATTTTCCTAAGCCATTTTGAATGTTGCTCTCTCTGCAATAAATGACTTATGGTTTCTTGTTCTAGTCATCATTGTGGATGCCATTCTTGGTAGGCCCTGACTGTACTCACACAATTGCAACTTGTCAATTTCCTTCATGCTTCCTAGTGTGCCCCATACCTCCTGTCCTGGGCTTCTTTACTGATGCTGCCATGTGGGAAAACAAGACTCTCACTTGCTGCCAAAACATGCACATTCCAGGTGTGCAGGGGAGTAATATGTTGTGGTTTAAACACTTGATCAATGGGCAATGGTAGCTGGTGGGTAAATTTTCTCACTTCTTCTTGAGACAGTTTATATGATTTCTCAGAGAATTCCTAAAGAGCAAGCCAACAGTCACTCTTACCTGATAAGAGTTAGCTTGATAACATATCCTCATATTGGCTCTAGTGCCTATTAGGTTTCACCCTCCTTGTGCCTACTTCTGCTCTCCGGGTTTTTACTTTACAATAGTGGCACACAATCTTCACAGGGCAGGAGCATCACCATCGTGGACAAGCACCTCATTCTAAAGTTCACCTTAATCAAAAACTGCCTAAATCCAAAGGGCATGAGCCTAATGGCTAAGGTCAGCATAACAATAAACCAGAAATAACATCTTCAACCAGAAACATTCCAAACTCCTCCCTGACCAGAGACATGCTAGCCTCAAGATAATGTCCTTTGCTGGAAAGATGTCAGCCCCAAGATACCTTCCCCTCTGCCCAGAGACATTCCAACCCCATCATAAAACTTCTCCTCCACACAGAAACATTCCAAGCTTGTAATAAGCCTCCTTACCCTGAAACCAATATATACTCCTAGTCTGTAAGAGAAAGCACTCCTGACCAAAAAATATCAGCCAGAAGCCCCTCTCAGGTTTTTAATCTAAAATAAACCTGTCTTTGACTGTCAAGCCACGTTTCGTGTTTCTTTCCTTTTTCTTAACTCTTACAAACGTTTGTCTAGGGCCTGGCATTTGGGAGCACAGACTGAGGTACTACATCTCACTCTTGCTTCTCTAGCCACACCACCCTTTTGTTTTTACTGGAACTTGGAAGCTTGTTCTTATCCTAGGGCCTTTGCACTTACTGTTCTGTCTGCACCCAGGTCTTTGCATGGATGGCTATTTTATGTCATTCAGACCTCAGCTCAAATATCCTCACCTCAGAAAAGCATCCCCTGGTTAAATCCAGACAAATGAAATCTAAACAAACACTCTGCTATTCTATATATATTACCAGGTTTAATTATTTTCATAGCTCTTAGTACTATAAAAATTCTGATTGCTGCATTTAGTTGTTTTGTTATTCTCTCTCTTGCCACTGCCTTTGGTGAACCCCCAGGAGATTGTAAGCTCCATATGAAAGGAACTGTTGTCCACTATGCTTCCTGATGCACCCCTACATCTAGAAGAGTATCTAGACCTAAGAGGCACAGGGTACACATTGTTTAATGTTAATGAATAAATGGGAATTCAAACTAGGGAAGAGGCTGTGATTTGAAAACCTAGTTAACTAGAAGCCACTCTTATTAGTCAGCTGTATAACACATCCTCATGTTGGCTCAATCAGCTTCAGGGAATCATAATCAAAGGAAGAATGTAAAACAGGCAGAAAATTAAGTTAATCTTTGGAAAACAGAATGATTGTTTCTGAGATGGGCACAGGTACAGCTAGATCTACACTGAGTTCCCAAAATGGCCAGATAATATTTGGAATCCTAAAAGAGAGAGAGTTTTTTTTAAAAAGCTTTTAAGGAAATTGGGTCATCAATTGGAGTACCTAATTGGTAATCTGCATGATAAGAACCAATTGTGTTAGCCAATTGTGTTAACCCATTTGTACTGCAGTGAAAATGTGAATACAAGGAGAAAAAGTAGCTACATATGTAAAGTATTAAATCTTTCTGAATCAATTAAATGCATCCTGGTTCACATCTGGACATACTGGATAACTGGTTGTGAAATAAATCCAAGCATCTGATCACTTTCAGAGAAACACTTTTAAGAACTTATACTTTGTAAGTTCATATCCCTCTCACTTTGATGAGGGCTGAGTTATGTTCAGGTATCCACCATGACTTTGAGAAATGAAATTCTAGGAAAATGAGGATAATTAATTGCAACCCAAAGTGGCATAAGGGACTTTTCTTCCAAATCTGCTCCTGGGACCCATGTTTTATCTTAGGTTTAAATGATAGAGGATGATATAGAATGCAGATTGCCTATAACTTTTTTAATTTAACAAAATAAAAATCCAACAAAAATCAAAATCTTTTCATGTTGCCTCATTTTAGAATAGTTTACATTCTAACACTGGAAAATTGTCAGAGAGTCTGCCCCATTATCAATGAGATCATGTCTTTATCCTTTGATTCCTTATGTTCATCAAATTATACTGTTTTATCACATAATTGGCTTTAAGTTTAACATTGTGCCTGATACACAGCAGTCACTCAGTCCATGCTTCTAAAATCAAGAAGTCCTTATGCAGCTTTCGATTTGGTGCACCGTTGCTACTGTCTTAGGCTGTGCTTATTGCTACAACAAAGTTTTATAGACTGAGTAGCTTCTAAAGAACAGAAATTTATTTCTCACAGTTCTAGAGGTAGAAAGCCTAAGATTAAGGCACTGACAGATTTAATGTCTGACGAGGGCTCTATTTCTTTTTTTTTTTTTTTGAGATGGAGTCTTGCTCTGTCACCCAGGCTGGAGTGCAGTGGCATGATCTCGGCTCATTGCAACCTCTGCCTCCTTAGTTCAAGGGATTATCCTGCCTGAGCCTCCTGAGTAGTTGGGATTACAGGTGAGCACCACCACGCCTGGCTAATTTTTGTATTTTTAGTAGAGATGGGGTCTCACCATGTTGGTCAGACTGGTCTGGAACACCTGACCTCATGATCCGCCCACCTTGGCATCACAAAGTGCTGGGAATACAGGCATAAACCACTGTGCCTGGCCAGCTCTATTTCTTACAAATGACATCTTCTTGCTTTGTCCTCACATGGCAAAACAACAAACAAGCTCATTAAAATGGAACCCTTATGCTGTAATCACCTCCCAAAGACTCCATCTCTTAACACTATCACCTCAGGTGTTAGGTTTCAGCATATCAATTTTGAAGGAACACAAACATTAAAACCATAGTAGCCACCAAGGGACAGGTTGCGGATTGCCATTTTAATCCCCTCCCATAATATCATCTTTCTGTATCAAGATGCTATTCAAACTTCTTTTCAAAAACACACAATTTCCTATAGCAAGAAAGAAGCATATAATCATTTGTGCACCAAAACATAAGCTTCTTGACTTCAGATGGAACTGTGACTTTTAAATGCCCTGAGATGCTGAGATGCTCTCTTTACTGTATGCTATGGCTTCAAGTCCATTTTTCTCAAAGAAAATACCAACTTGTCCCAAATTAAAACTCAGTTTTCTTAGTTGAGCTACGTACAAGATGTGAATTCACTGGAGAAATCCTGGAAACTTCCTTTTCTTAGAACAAACAATTTTTTCTCCCTTCTCTCCCAACTTTTTCTGACATCATTTTACTAGAAAGAAATGAAAGTCCTTTTAACTTATGTAGGTAGCATCCATAGCCTATAACGGAAAGACCGTTGAGGTCTCAAAAAGAGAAATTACTTCTCAGCTGAGAGTTTCACTTCTAGTGGCACGGAGGGTAGGAAAAACTTAAAACAAGAATTAAAGAGAAGCCTTTTTTTTTTTATATTTGGCCCTAATGTGAGTAAAAGACTCAAAAGGCCTAGAAAGAAAGGAAAATAAATAATTCTTAAAGCTCTCTAAGAACTCAACCAACTCTACCTGAGAAGGGAAAAAAGTGATTCAGATCTAAAGCTCTTGAATGCAATTTGCTTGTGCTAAAAGCAAGAGCCTTTGACATCTTCATACTAGAAATGGAAGAAAATGCTTTTGGAAAATATGGAAATCATTCCTGGGTGTCACACTCTTTCTTCTCTAAGAAACTCACATTAACCCTTGAAGCAGAGCCTTCACTTTAGTTACTGTCTTGATCATCCTACCCTTAGCTAGTTAAATATTGCCGCCAACCTTTTTTTTTTTATTGTTAAAACTCTGTTTAATTGTGGAAATCTGATGGGTTATCCCAGTCATTGAGATCAGTAGAAGAGTTTAATCAATTTCTAAATAATAAATCAACTTTTCATGCCCTTTATAATCTCAATGTAACACATTGCAATTCATAGCCATTACACTACATTTATCTTTAATGTATAATAAATGGTACATTGGTATTGACTGAACAAGCGATTAAATATTCCATCAGTGGCAGAACACAGAAATATTTTTTAATTATTAATAAGCCACCAGCTTTGCTTGTCAGGTACAATCATCTTTTTGTTGGAACAACTTATTTTCATTTTTATTATCATAGACAAGTGCAATCAAACGCCATTTCAAACCACTTCTGGTCAATCTCCAGCATAGGACCGATAACTTCTAGTTTCCCTTCTTAACAGCTATGAAGGGCAATAGATTTGGCAAAAAAAAAAAAAAAAAAAAAAAAAAAAAAAAAAAAAAAAAAAACAACAACCAATAAATATGAAAGAGATGTGGAGTTCATGTAAAAATTCAAGAAAGAGAATTATAAAAAAATTTTATTAGATTTTCTCATACTGATTTCAAAGGATAGGTATAATAAAGTATTTGTGAAATTTTATGAAATATTACATACATAAAATTGTCAAGACTTTATAGACTCATCATATGTACAAAAGAGTTTACCCTTATCAAAAGAAAAAGAGAAAGAGAGAAATTAAAACTGTGTACAGAACATGGTGACAAGATTCTAAATGAACTAAGAGGGGAGTAAATATTTAAAAAATTGGAGTTTGATTAAAGTAACCCATGGACTACAATTTGAATGTGTGTCCCCTCCCAGATGCACATTGAAGCTTCATCCTGATTGTGGTAGTATAAAGAGGTGAGCCTTTTAGATAAATGATTACATGCCTTATGAATGGGCTGGAGGGAGCTAGCTTAAGCCCCTTTTCCACTTCTGATTCTGCCAACCATGTGAGGACACAGTGTTCATTCCCTCAGGAGGACACAGAAACAGGACATCATCTCAAAGGCAAAGAGAGCAGCCTTCACCAGACACCAAACCTGGTGGTCCTTGACTTTAAATTTCCCAGCCTTCAGAGCTGTAAGAAACAAATTTCTATTATGTATAAATTACCCAGTCTGTAGTACTTGTTATACCAGCACAAATGGACTAAGACACAAACCAAAGAGCATGAGGACATTAATTTCCTAAGGTAATTTTCACAGAGTTCAGATACAACCGTGAGGTGGGAAGTTATGAACACATTTATCTGACACATATTTATTAAATTTCATTAGACTTTTAAGGTCTTAGACGTTTGAAACTGCTTGCTAAAACTTTATGATCTATAAGAACAAAGCAGACATAGGCCCTGCCCTCAAAGTTTTACAGTGCTTTGGAAAGAAAAAAAAAGGCACGTAAATATCATCTAAATTATGAAATATATCATTGTGTGAAATTAGCATGTTACATTTATATTTGCTTCTCTGGCATCCAACACAATTCCTGGTACAGTTAGAAAAATGTAAATTAATTTATTCAAGACAAATTTATTGAATATCTATTATATGTTTCATCAAAATACTAGATATGCAAAGATAAATAAAACATTGTCCTTCATCAGCCCACAGTTTAATAGAAGAATGAGATAGTAAACATTTGTTGAGTTGAATTTGACAAATTTATGATCATTGCACTTCAGGAAATCTCAACCTGAAAAATTCTAAAATGAAAAAATATCAAAAGTCATGGGAGACTGTAGAGAAACGGTATAATGACTAGATATCCACACATCATCCATTAATCATCATGGGGTTTGACTCCAAGTAACATAAAACCTGACAGAGCTTTAGAAATACGGATTTCTTTCTTTTTTCTTCATCTTAAAAAAAAAATGGAGGTCAATAGTTTCAGGTGAAGGTTCATTGACTCAACACGATTGGAGCCTCCAGTGGCATGTCTGTAATTTTCTTGGCCTTTCCCTTATGATTGAAAATGATTGAAGCAGCTCTACATCTCATCTTCACACTACACTCAAGGCAGGAAACCAGAGCTGGTTCAAAATACAAAAATTCACTTCCCTCTTCTCACTTTCTTTGAGCAAAAGCCTCTCCCAGTACCCCTCCCCCGCAGACCCCATATCCCATCAGACTGCTATTATGTCTCATTGCTCAGAATTAGGCTACATGACTGCCTTTAAACCAGTAGCCCAGCCCACCTCTTCTGCAAAAAAGAATACCAGGCTACTGTTTTAGGAAAGAAGACAGAAGAGAGATTTTTTAAGGATGTGAAACAAATAGTGCTGGCCACAGATCCTTAGCAAAAGGAAAAGGAACTAGGCATAGAAACAAATGAGATGGTACATATCTGATAAAAAATCAACTTGAAAATGGCAGGTATAAATGACAAGGAAGGCGTACATTAAAATAGATAAGTGGTCCCTACCTGAAGGCATCTGCAATATGACAGGGTCAGTGTTTGAAGGGCATTTTCTACCCTATTAATACGGAAAGAGAGAAAGAAAGAATAGAACAATTTATCACTATGGCAGAAGGTACACTTTAAATCAACTGGCATTTATTGAGCACTTATTACTTGTAAAGCTTTTTGCTAGTCAATGGGGACCATTCAGAAATCTGTCTTTCTCTTGTATTTTGGCCCCTTTGCTGCTCTTGATTTCCAAAAACCCATTCAATATATATAGGAAAGAATGTATCTGAGTTTTGAGACATTATTTAAAAGTGGCTAAATAGTCCCTGAATAAATTTTTTTTTAAAAACTGAGAAGGCAGGTGATATGGTTCAGCTGTGTCCCTGCCCAAATCTCATCTTGAATTGAAGCTCCCATAATCCCCACATGTTGTGGGAGGGACACTCTGGGAGGTAACTGAATCATGGGTGTAGTTTTCCCTATACTGTTCTTGTGGTAGTGAATAGGTCTCACGAGATCTGATGGTTTAATAAGGGAGCGGGTTAAAGAAGGCAGTCCCCTTTCAACTGGCTCTCATTCTCTCCTTTTGCTCGCCGCTATGTAAGAAGTCCCTTTCCTCTTCCTTCATCTTCCGCTATGATTGTGAGGCCTCCCCAGCTGTGTGGAACTGTGAGTTCATTAAACCTCTTTCCTTTATATATTGCCCAGTCTCAGGTATGTCTTTATCAGCAGCATGAAAATGGACTAATACAGCAGGTTTCTGAATTGTCATAGCGTAATCAAAGCTTCCCAGCTGGACGTCCAGCATACCGGTGCAAGGAGGAGGCAAACAGTGTATCTACTTGGGGCAGCCAAGCAGGGTCAAGGGTTAGTTACTGCCTGAAGTCGCTTCTGTTTACCCCCATGTGCCTTATGCATATTATCACTTACAATACTCTGCAATTGGAAAAGAGTTGGATAATCCTGCTATAAATGACAGTTTGATATTGGACCATGGAAAACTTCTAAATGAATTATTAATTCCATAGTTTGCATACAACTGCGAAATAGAGAAATGATTATTTGGGGTCAGCATGCATTCACCAGGACACCTACTCCCAAACAAATATTGTTTTCCTTTTGTTGAAACACTGAAATGGGTGGATACTCAAAATGGATTCTCTAATAATGCCATAGAAGTTAAGAAGAGACAGTGCTCTCTAAATCTTCACATAGCACATTAACATAAATTAACCAAGCCAACTCAAGAAATTGCACTGATTTTTAAAATTAACGAACAGTTTCTGATTACCAAAATATCATGGTCACTCCCAAGATTTCATAATACAAACATTGTGTTCAGGGCTTTTCTATGAAACAAAAAGATTCCACAATGTCCTCTTCCCCAAGCATCTTCACAGAAGAAGTGGCATTTGAGTGGAGTCATAAGGAAGAAATGAAATTTTCTTATGTGTATCTGGGAGAACAATTCAAGTTGTACTACTCTTGTCAATCATTGTGTTTGTCGTCCATAGAAAGGAGGTGCATTCAAACACAGAAAGAACGCACCAAGTGACAATGAGAGAGCACAGTGGTGGGTACAGAGAACAGAAGAGAAGTAGAGGCTTTTCCATTTTACAAAAAGTTGAACTAAATCTGTACAATTAACTTCCTTTTTTCATAAGATAGCCAAAGTCGGCTGTTACTTCTCATAAGAGAAAGAGCCTACCTGAATCATACTGTAGCAGAAGAGTGTAGTAAGGCTAAGAGAGAAGAGGAAGTGTCATGTTTATTGGGAAAAGAGCACAGCTCAGCCTGACCAGTTGATTGGAGTACAGTATTTCTGGTATACATGGGTCACACTCACACACACATATTCATAATACTTTGTTAGGTTTTGTTCCTAATTTAATTAGGCAAGTATACATAATCTTTGGAAGCAAAGAGACTGACATGGTTTGGCTCTGTGTGCCTACTCAAATCTCATGTCAAATTGTAATTACCAATGTAGGGGGAGGGGACTGGTGGGAGGTGATTGCATCATGGGGACAGATTTTTCCCTTGCAGTTCTCATGATAGTGAGTGAGACCTGGTTGTTTAAAAGTGTATAGCTTTCTCTTCTCTCTTACTCTACCATATGAAGTAAACGCTTGCTTCCCCTTCACCCTTCTGCCATGATTGTAAGTTTCCTGAGGGCTCCCCAACCATGCTTTCTGTACAGCCTGTGAAACTGAGTCAATTAAACCTCTTTTCGTCATATATTACGTAGTCTCAGGTATGCCTTTATAGTAGTGCAAGAATGGAGTAATACAAAGACTATAGAGGCAGGGTAAAAGCAGATGAAGCAAGTTATCTCAGAAAAGATTTCCTTATTCCCCAAAGTGAGAGGTGACAGCATGCTGGCGGCCCTCACAGCCCTGGCTCGCTCTCCGTGCCTCCTCGCCCTGGGCGCCCATTCTGGCCGTGCTTGAGGAGCCCTTCACCCTGCCGCTGCACCATGGGAGCCCTTCTCTGGGCTGGCTGAGGCCGGAGCCAGCTGCCTCGGCTTGCGAGGAGGTGTGGAGGGAGAGGCACGGGCAGGAACCGGGGATGCGTGTGGCGCTTGTGGGCCAGCGCCAGTTCCTGGTGGGTGTGGGCTCTGCGGCCCCGCATTCAGAGCGGCTGGCCCGCCTGCAAGCCCCGGGCAGTGAGGGGCTTAGCATCTGGGCCAGCAGCTGTTGTGCTTGATTTCTCGCCAGGCCTTAGCTGCCTCCCCGTGGGGCAGGGCTCGGGACCTGCAGCCCGCCATGCCTGAGCCTCCCCCCAAACCCACCATGGGCTCCCACGCAGCCCAAGCCTCCCGGACCCGAGCGCCACTCCCTGCCCCATGGCTCCCAGTCTCATCCACCGCCCAAGAGCTGAGAAGTGCAGGCCCACGGCGTGGGACTGGCAGGCAGCTGCACCTGCAGCCCCAGTGCGGAATCCACTGGGTGAAGCCAGCTGGGCTCCTGAGTCTAGTGGGGACTTGGAGAACCTTTATGTCTAGCTAAGGGATTGTAAATACACCATTCAGCACTCTGTATCTAGCTCAAGGTTTGTAAACACACCAATCAGCACCCTGTGTCTAGCTCAGGGTTTGTGGATGCACCAATCGGCACTCTGTATCTAGCTAATCTGGTGCGGACTTGGGAGAATCTCTGTGTCTAGCTAAGGGATTATGAATACACCAATGGGCACTCTGTATCTAGCTCAAGGTTTGTAAATGCACCAATCAGCACTCTGTGTCTAGCTCAGGGTTTGTAAATACACCAATCCACACTCTGTATCTAGCTAATCTAGTGGGGACCTGTAAAACTTTTGTGTCTAGGTCAGGGATTGTAAATGTACCAATCAGCACCCTGTCAAAATGGACCAATCAGCTCCGTGTAAAACAGACCACTCGGCTCTCTCTAAATTGGACCAATCAGCAGGATGTGGGTGGGGCCAGATAAGAGAATAAAAGCACGCTGCCCGAGCCAGCAGTGGCAACCGGCTTGGGTCTCCTTCCACACTGTGGAAGATTTGTTCTTTCACTCTTTGCAATAAATCTTGCTGCTGTTCCCTCTTTGAGTCCGCACTGCTTTTATGAGCTGTAGCACTCACCGTGAAGGTCTGCAGCTTCACTCCTGAGACAGCGAGACCATGAACCCACTAGAAGGAAGAAACTCCAAACATATCTGAACATCAGAAGGAACAAACTCTGACATGCCGCCTTTAAGAACTGTAACACTCACCACGAGGGTCCGTGGCTTCATTCTTGAAGTCAGTGAGACCAAGAGCCCACCAATTCTAGACACAAAAGTTTCCCCAAAATACATGTAGCTATGAGTTATACTGTCCAGGAAATGTAAGATCTTCCCTCTCTTAGATTGTTCAGTACTTACTGTGACCCTGTCCTATACTTAGGGATAATATTGTTCTGGAAAAGAAGTAGTGTTTGAGAGCAGTGTCTGTACTAGCTTTTACAACCTGTATGACTAATACATGTGTTTCTTAACCTACACATGCCTTAGTTTCTTCAACCACAAAATAGATAAAACAGGATTATATCTGTCCTGCTCCTTTGAAAAACAGAAACAAACAACTGATTTTGTTTTGTTCTCTATTTTTCATTTCAGTCCTGACTTCCTTGTTTTCATATTTACAAACACCTGAGACTGGGTAATTTATAAAGGGAAGAGGTTTAATGGACTCACAGTTCCACGTGGCTGGGGAGGCCTCAGGAAACTTACAATTATGGTGAAAGGCAAGGGGGAAGCAAGGACCTTCCTCACATGGTGGCAGGAGAGAGAAGTACAAGCAGGGAAATGCCAGGTGCTTATAAAACCATGAGATCTCATGAGACCTCACTAACTATTATGACAACAGCATGAGGGAAACTGCCCCCATGATCCAATCACCTCCAACCGTGTCCCTCCCTCAACATGTTGGGATTATGAGGATTACAATTCAAGATGAGGTTTGGGTGGGAACCCAGCCATACCATATCATTCTACCCCTGGCCCCTCCCAAATCTAATGACCTCACATTTCAAAATGCAGTCACACCTTGCCAACAGTCCTCCTAAGTCTTAACTCATTCCAGCATTAACCCAAAAGCCCACAGTCCAAAGTCTCATCTTAGGCAAGGCAAGTCCTTTCCACCTAGGAGCCTGTAAAATCAAAAGTAAGTTAGTTACTTCCAAGATACAATGAGGGTACAGGCATTGTATAAATGCTCCCATTCCAAAGGGGGAGAAATTGGACAAAACAAAGGGCTACAGGCCCCATACAGGTCTGAAATCCAGCAGGGCTGTCATTACATCTTAAAGTTCCAAAATAATCCCCTTTGACTCCATGTCTCACATGCAGGGCATGCTGATGCAAAGGGTGGTCTCCCACAGCCTTGGGCAGCTCTGCCCCTGTGGCTTTGCAGGGTACTGCCTACCATCCTGGCTGCCTTCATGGCTGGCATTGAGTGTCTGTGGCTTTTCCAGGCACACTCTGTAAGCTGTCAGTGGGTCTATCCTTCTGGGGTCTGAAATATGGTGGCCCTCTTCTCACGGCTCCTCAAGGCACTGCCCCAGTGGGGACTCTGTGTAGGGACTCCAACCCCACATTTCCCTTCTGCACTGCCCTAGCAGAGGTTCTCCATGAGGACTCTGCCCCTGCAGCACACCTGTGCCTGGACATCCAGGCATTTCCATACATTCTCTGAAATCTAGGCAGAGGTTCCCAAACCTCAATTCTTCTGTGCACCTCAGGACCAACACCACATGGCAGCTTCCATGGGTTGGGTTTTGCACCTTCTGGAACAATGGCCTAAGCTGTATCTTTGCCCCTTTTAGCTACACCTGGAGCAACTAGGATGCAGGGCACCAATCTTGAGGCTGTGCACAGCAGGGGGTCCCTGGACCTGGCCTGTAAAACCATTTTTTCCTCCTAGACCGCCAGGCCTCTGATGAGAGTGGCTGCCACCAAGATCTCTGACATGCCTCGGAGATATTTTCCCCATTGTCTTGGTGTTTAACATTTGGCTCCTCACTATTTATGCAAATTTCTACATCAGGCTTGAATTTCTCCCCAGAAAATGGGTTTTTCTTTTCTATTGCATCATTGGGCTGCAAAATTTCCAAACTCTTATGCTCTGCTTCCCTTTTAAACATAAGTTACAATTTCAGATTATCTCTCTCAAGTTCAAAGTTCCACAGATCTCTAGGGCAGGGGCAAAATGCCACCAGTCTCTTTTCTAAAGCATACCAAGAATGGCCTTTGCTCCTGTTCCCAATAAATTCCTCATCTCTGTCTAAGACCACCTCAGCTAGGACTTTATTGTCCACATCACTATCAGCATTTTGGTCAAAACCATTCAACAAGTCTCCAGGAAGTTCGTAGGCTTAGATGCACATCTTTCTATCTTCTTCTGAACCCTCCACACTGTTTCATCTTCTGTTACCCAGTTCCAAAATTGTGTCCACATTTTTGGGTATCTTTGTGGAAATATCCCACTCTCTCTGGTACCAATTTACTGTGTTAGTTCATTTTCACAACTGCTATAAAGAAATACCCAAGACCAAGTAATTTATAAAGAAAAGAGGTTTAATTGGCTTAACAGTTCCACATGGCTAGGGAGACCTCAGGAGACTTATAATTATAACGTAAGGTGAAGGGGAAGCAAGGACCTTCTTCACATGGCTGCAGGGAAGAGAAGTGCAAGCAGGGGACATGCTAGACGCTTATAAACCATCAGATCTCATGAGAACTCACTCACTATCATGAGAACAGCATGGAAGAAACTGCCCACATGATCCTATCACCTCCCACCATCTCTCTCCCTTAACATAGGGATTATGGAGATTACAACTCAAGATGAGATTTGAGTGGGGACGTAGCCAAACCATATAATTCCCCTTCAGTTAAAAAGGCACTTTCACAAATTTTGCCACATTGTCATTTATAATTATTCCACCATAAGGGTATTGTTTCCAATATATGGATCAGGAATACACAAGTCAGATAAATACTTCACCAGTGTACAAACATTACAAATCACCATATCTTATAAATATTCCAATTCACATTCAGTAAGTCTGAGGCCAGATCTGAGAATTTACATTTCTAACATCCTCCCAGATACACTGAGGCTGCTGGCCTAGAGACTACACTTTGGATTTAGTATTAACATTAAAAAGAGGGTCTACAAATTACTCTCAGGTATTCTGATAGTATATTCCATTTTTCCTCACAGCAAATCACTATTCAGTTCACGTGCTTATACCTACCATAACGTTTTATTGAAGTAATAATTTTGTACCACTATCTTCTGAGATGCTATTTTGTACTTATTATAAGTATTATTAGGTATAAAACACAAATAGAACATTTATCTTACATAACAGTGGCATGTGTGATTATAATGCATGAATGTAATATATACAGAGAGTGAGATATAATTCTTAGGTTCCTTTTTTATAGACAAAATGATATTTGATTTAAAGGTCATTGTCAGGTAGGCATGAGATTTAGGGATGCCACTATCTCTTCTCCTAATATTTCCACCTGGTTTTGAGGCTCAGATTTGACCTATGCTTAGAGTGCAGAAAGTTGTGTCATTAAAATGCAGTTATAGTCTCAAAAGTGCCACTCTCCTATTTGTTCCAAACTGTAGTTTAGTGCTACAGTTGCTGACTTTACCTACAAAAATACATTGTTCTCCTGCTAGCACTGCAAATTCTAATGAGCAATGGACTGGTAACACCAAATTCCATTGTGAATTAGAATTGTCAGCACAGTTCTGATGGCTGAATCTCTGCAACTTTGCGAAAGGTACTCATTGCTTCACTGTGAAGTAGAGAACTGTGTAGTTTAGGAAGACTGATTTTTGGATTGCAAATTCAGCTCATTAAGGGTAGATGGATGCTTCTGATTCAGTGTACATAAAGTCAATGTCATCATTTTTATTTGTACTTTTTGAAACCGGAAAATGCATCTTAAAACATATTTTAAAAAGTCATCAGTCACAATCTTTGATTATCACAATTTAGTGTACATAATTTCATGTATCCTTTTTATGTATCATTAATTTAACTGTTGCCAGATAAAAAAATTAGATAATGTTCTCATACTCCATTTCTTGGTTCAAAAATGATACAAAATGATAGCAAAGTGTTGTACACTGTCTCGAGCATGACATAATAGAAATAACTAAATATTGATTTTAACACAGCAGGTTTTACCAATATTCAATTATTCTAAAATTTGATCAATTTCAAGGCAATCAAAACAATGCCACAGTGATTTGCTGATCTTTATTTTAATTTTCAGTTATAAATTTTTAAAAAAATTTAGACCTCAAATTTATTCTATATTTGCAACTTGCTGCCCATTGCTACAGAGTGCATTATAACAATGAAGTGATACTAAATTTTCCTAATTTTAACTTGATATCATGCTCCCACATTGTGTATCACATAGATATCCCACATGGTATATCACCATGCCTTTCAAATCCTTTCAAAAATGTCATGAACTTTTGTTTCACCTCTATCTGGAATGCCCTTTTCTGCCAGCTATATTTTCCTTATTATTTTTTACTAATTTTTTAATCTTGACATAATTGTAGATTCACATGTGGCTGTATGAAATAGTACAGAGAGATCTCATGTACCTTTCACCAAGTTCTCCCAATCTTGCAAAACATCTTTCAAAGCTATAATACAATACCACAACCAAAATCACGACATTGATAGAGCCAAGATATGGAAAATATCCATCGCCAAAAGGATCTTTTATGCTTCTTTTTACAGCCACGACCACTTTCCTCCTCTCTTCCACCTTAAAGCCTAGGAATTATTCATATGTTCTTCATTTTGACAATTTTGTCATTTCAAGAATGTTATGTATAAATTGTATCATGCAGTGTGTAATCTTTGAGAATTTGCTTTATTTTCATTCAAAATAGCTCTGTGGAGACATATAAGTTGTCATATGTATCAATGCCTTGTTCTGTATATTATTGAGTAGTATGCTTGATGTTTATTACTACAGATTGTTTATCTTTTCACCAGTTTAAAGGTGTATGGGCTGTTTTCAGCTTGGAATTATTGTGAATAACACTTCTATGAGGCCAGGCGTGGTGGCTCATGCCTGTAATTCCAGCACTTTGGGAGGCCAAGGTGGGCAGATCACCTGAGGTCAGGGGTTCAAGACTAGCCTGGCCAACAGGTGAAACCCCATCTCTGCAAAAATCCAAAAATTACCCAGGCATGATGGCAGGTGCCTGTAATTCTAGCTACTCAGGAGGGAGGCTGAGGCAGGAGAATGGCTTGAACCTGGGAGGTGGAGGTTGCAGTGAGCCGAGTTCGCGCCATTGAACTCCAGCCTGGGCAACAGAGCAAGACTCCGTAAAAACAAAAAACAAAAAACAAAAAACACTGCTATGAACATTTCCATGTAAGTTTTTATGTGGATGCAAGTTTTTGTGTCTCTGAAATATATGCCCAGGAGTCTAATTGTTGGATGATATAACAGTTGCATGGTTAGTTTTTTCAAAGCAAATGAAAAGTTGCTTTACATAGAACCTGTAACATTCTGTGTTCCTATCAACAACCCAACAGCTTCTCTGCATCCACACTAGCATTTGATGTTGTCACTATGGTTTTTAGTTTTATTTTTGTTTTTTAAGGACAGGTCCTCACTTTGTTGTACAAGCTGGACTTGAACTGAGCTCAAACCATACTCCCTAGTAGCTGGGAATACAGGCATGGGCCATTATGCATGACTACTGCCACTATTTTTTTCATTTTAACCATTCTGATAAACATGCAATAATATCTATTATAACTTTAGTTTAAATTTCCCTAATGGCTAATGATGTTGAACATCTTTTTATTTATTTTATGCCATCTCTATGTCCTTTGTTGAACTACTGAAATATATATCTGTGTCTTTGCTCATTTTCTGATTAAGTTGTTTAAATTTTTCTTTTCTATTTTTGAGATTTGAGAGTTCTTTATATATTGTATATACTAGCCTTTTGGGTTTTTGTTGTTGTTGTTGTTGTTTGTAGAGACAGGTTTTCATCATGTTGCCCAGGCTGATCTCGAACTCCTAGGCTCAAGCAATCTGCCCACCTCAGCCTCCCAAAGTGCGGGGTTACAGGAGTGAGCCACTGTGCCCAGCCTATACACTAGCCTTTTGTTAGATATTCCATTTGCCAATATTTTCTCTGAGGTTATAGTTTTTCTTTTCGTCCTGTTACTGGAGTTTTTCAGAAAGCAGAGGTTATTTATTTATTTCTTTATGAGACAGAGTTTCCGTCTTGTTGCCCAGGCTGGAGTGCAATGGCTCAATCTCAGCTCACCGCAACCTCCTCTTCCCGGGTTCAAATGGTTCTCCTGCCTCAGTCTCCTGAGTAGCTGGGATTACAGGTTCCCACCACCACACCCAGCTAATTTTTGTATTTTTAATAGAGACGGGGGTTTTGCCGTGTTGGCCAGGCTGGTCTCTAACTCGTGACCTCATGATCCACCCGCCTAGGCCTCCCAAAGTGCTGGGATTACAGGCATGAGCCACCGTGCTCTGCCATAAATGCTTTTCTTTTATGGGTCATGCTTTTGGTAGAAAGTCTTTTTGCCTAGACCTAAACACAAAACATTTTCTCAAAATTATTTTTTAAGAACTTCACATTTAAGCTCATATTTCATTTTTACTGTATTTCTCAGGCATGATATTTCAGTCAAGGTTGTGTGTGTGTGTGTGTGTGTGTGTGTGTGTTTTGTCAATTGGCTATGGATATCCAGTTGTTCTCACATAATTAGTTGAAAAGGCTATCATTTCTCCATTGAATTGGATTTGCACCTTTGTAAAAAAATCAGCTGGGCATATTTGTGTGGATTGATTTCTGGGTTTTCTATTCAGTTCTATTGAACTATGTGTATCTCTCCACAGTCTTGATTTCTCTAATTGTACAATAAACACTGAAGTAAGGTAGACTGATTCCCCCTGCTTATTTCTTCATTTTTCAAAATTGTCCTCATTATTCTAGTTCTTTTGTCTTTCCATGTAAATTTTATAACAATATTGTCTATAACTGCAAGATATCTTGTTATAACAATATTGTCTATAAGTGCAAGATATCTTGTTATAACAATATTGTCTATAAGTGCAAGAATTTTGACAGGATTGTGTTAAAACTGAATATCAATTTGGGGAGAATTCACATATTTACTTTGTTGTGTCTACCAACCAATGAACATGGTATGTCTCTCTTTTCATTTAGATCTTGATTTCTTTCATCAACATTTTAGCATAAAAATTCTTTTTAATTCTTTACAGCTAAGAATTCCATTTTTTCACCAACTATAAATAGTATGTTTTCTTTTTTAAATTTGAGTTTCCCCATGTTTATTGCTGGTATATGGAAATACTTTTTTTTTGTAAATTTATGTTGCGTCCTTTGATAATGATGAACTCCTATTTTATCTCATATCTAAAAGTTTTGTTGTAGATTTCTTGGTGTTTTCTACACCAATAGAGAGTCATTTCATCTGTAAATGGAGACAGTTTTATTTTTTCCTTTGTTATTTCTATGCTTTTCACTTCCTTTTCTTACTTTCTTGTACTTAAAGAACTTCCAGCCCAATACTGAATAACAGTGATAAGAGCAGACATCCTTGCCTGGTGACTGACCTTAGGGGGAAATAATTCATTATTATACCATTAAATATAATGTGAACTATGCACTTTTTATAAGTGCTCTTTATCACATAATAAAAGTTTTCCTCTATTACTGTATTCCTAAACTTTTCATTATTAAAAATTATTGAATTTTCTCAAATACACTTCTGTACTAAATGACATGCTTGTGAGATTTTCCCTTTTTTAGCTTGCTATTATGATGGATTATAATAATCAATTTTTGGATATTAAACCAGTCTTGAATTGCTGTAATAAACTTTGCTTGATCATGGTGTATAATTCTTTTTATACATTGATAAATTCATTTACTATTGTTTAGTTAAATATTTTCACATTTTTATTTATAAAAATATTGAGCTACAGTTTTATCTTTTTCTGTGATGTCTTTGTCTGCATCTGGCATCAGGGTAATAATACCTTTATAAAATAAGTTAGAAAGTATTCTCTTCTTTCATATTTTGTGGAAAATATTGCGTACACTTCATTTCAATTCTTTAAATATTTTGAACAATTATTTGGTGAAACATTCAGGGTCTAGATATTTCTTTTGTGACAGTTTTTCAATTACAAACACAATTTTCTCAATAGTTGTAGGGCTATTCCGATGATCTATCTTGTAACATGCAGTTTTAATAGTTTATGCATTTCAAGAAATTGGTCCATTTTGTACAATTCACCTTTTTTGTGTGTAGAGTTGTAGAGTTGTTCATGGAATTTTTTTTAATAATCTTTCTCTTAATAGTTGATTTTATTTATATAAATTATAGAACAGATAAAACTACTATGGTGAGGCCGGGCACGGTGGCTCAGGCCTGTAATCCCAGAACCTTGGGAGGCCAAAGCGGGCAAGGTCAGGAGATCGAGACCACCCTGGCTAACATGGTGAAACCCTGTCTCTACTAAAAATACAAAAAAATTAGCCGGGTGTGGTGGCAGGCGCCTGTAGTCCCAGCTACTCGGGAGGCCGAGGCAGGAGAATGGCGTGAACTTGGGAGGCGGAGCTTGCAGTGAGCTGAGATCGCGCCACTGCACTCCAGTCTGGGTGACAGTGCGAGACTCTGTCTCAAAAAAAAAAAGAAAAAGAAAAAGAAAAAACTGCTATGGTAACAGAAATCATAACAACATTTTCCTGGGAGAAAAGATGATCTATGAAGGGATACAAGGGAAATTCTTGGGGTTTTGTAAATGTTTATATTTTGATTACGGAGTTGTTAGCACAGATATACACATTATGAAAACGCTGAACTGCAGCCTTAAAATGTGTGCATTTTCTTATAAGTAAAAGATTCCTCAATAAATTATTTAGAAAATAAAGCTGTTAGAAATGTATATATGAGTCATCTTTCACATGTACATTTTTACTGTAAATTGACAATTTATGAATGTAGAAATGTATGGGGTACAAAATTATTTATAATTTATATTTTTGATTTATGAATACAATGTGCAATAATTAAATCAAACTCATTAACATAGCTATCACCTCACATACTTAACAGGTTTTGTTGTGAATATTTTTGAAATTTACTTTCCTAGCAATTTTGAAATGTATCATATGCTATTATTAATTACATTCAAGATGCTGTACAATGTGACTCAAAAAATAAAAATATATTCCTACAACCTAATGGACATTTTGTATCCTTTGACCATCGTGTCTGTACTCTCTTCACCTCTGGCCTCCATAACAACCATTCTGCCCTCTGCAACTATGAGACTGATTGTTTTAGATTCCACATGTAAATGAGAACATGCGATAGCTATCCTTCTGTGCCTGATTTATTTCACTTACTATAACTTTCTCTAATTCCATCCATGTTGTCACAAATGGAAGAATGTCCTTCCTTTCTTAAGGCTGAATAGTATTTCATTCTGTGTATGACTGAATTTTCTTTTTTCTTTTATTTTTTACATTAAGTAGTTTTAATTTCAAGTAGCCTACTGAACTATGTTAACTGCTTATATAATTGGGATAAACTGTGTAAGTGTATTTTTTTAACTTTTGTTTTAAGTTCAGGGTATATGTGTAGGTTTGTTATATAGGTAAATTGCATGTCAAAAGGGTTTTATGTACAGATTATTTCATCACCCAGGTAATAAGAATACTAACTAATAAATATTTTTCTGGAATATTTTCCACCTCTCACCCTCCACCTTCCAATAGGCCCCAGCGTATGCTGTGTCCCTGTGTTCTCATCATTTAGCTCTCATTTATAAGTGAGAACATACGATGTTTAGTTTTCTGTTCCTGCATTAGTTTATTAGGATAATGACCTTAAGCTCTATCCATGTTGCTGCAAAGGACATGATCTCATGTCTTTTTATGGCTATGTAATATTTCATGGTGTCTATGTACCACATTTTCTTTATCCAGTCTACCATTGGTGGGCATTTAGGTTGATTCCATGTCTTTGCTATTGTGAAAAATGCTGCAGTGAACATAAGTGGCATGTATCGTTATGGTAGAATGATATAGCCAATAATGAGATTGCTTGGTCAAATGGTAATTCTGTTTTATGTTGAAATATTGCCATGCTGCTTTTCACAATGGTGAAAAAATGTACATTTCTGCCAGCAGTGTATAAGCATTCCCTTTTCTCCACAACTTCACTAGCATGTGTTATTTTTTGACTTTTTAACAATAGCTATTCTGACTGGTGTTAGAGGTATCTAATTATGGTTTTCATTTACATTTCTCTAATGACTACTGATGTTGAGCATCTTTTTTTCATATACTTGTTAGTCACATGCCTGTCTTCTTTTAAAAGGTGTCCATTCATGTATTTTGCCCCCTTTCTATGGGGTTGTTTTCTTTCTTGTAAATTTGTTTAAACTCTTTATAGATTCTGGACATTAGACCTTTGTCAGATGCATAGTTTGCAAATATTTTCTCCCATTTTGTAGGCTGTCTGTTTACTCCATTGTTAGTTTCTTTTGCTGTGCAGAAGCTCTTTAATTAGGTCCCATTTATCAATTTTTGCTTCTGTTGCAATTGTTTTTGGCTTCTTTGTCTTGATATTTTTGCCAGGGTCCATTTCCAGAATGATATTGCCTAGGTTATCTCCCAGAATTTTTACACTTTCAAGTTTTACATTTAAGTCTTTAATCCCTCTTAAGTAGATTTTTGTACATGGTGTAAGAAAGGGGTCCAGTTTTAATAGTGTGAATATGGTTAGCCACTTATCCCAGCACCATTTAGTGAATAGGGAATCCTTTCCCCATTGCTTGTTTTGTTGACTTTGTTGGAGATCAGATAGTTGTAAGTGTGTTACCTTATTCTAGTCTCTATTCTGTGCCATTGGTCAATGTGTTTGTCTTTGTGCCAGTACATTGCTGTTTGAGTCATTGAAGCCTTGTAGTATAGTTTGAAGTTGAATACTCTGGCACCTTCAGCTTTGTTCTGTTTGCCTAGAATTGCCTTGGCTATTCAGACTCTTTTTTGATTCCATAAGAGTTGTAGAATTGTTATTTCTAATTGTGTAAAGAATGTCATTGGTAGATTGACAGGAATAGCACTTAATCTGTAGATTGCTTTGGGAAGTGTGGCCATTTTAACAGTATCATTCTTCTTATCCATGAGCATGGAATGCTTTTCTGTTTGTGTCATCTCTGATTTCCTTGAGTAGTGCCTTGTAATTATGATTGTAGAGGTCTTCCACCTTTCTAGTTAGCTCTATTTATAGGTATTTTATTCTTTTCGTGACTATTGTGAATGGGACTGTGTTCTTCATTTGGTTTTCAGCTTGGACATTGTTGGTGTGTAGAAATGATATTAATTTTTGTACATTGATTTTGTAGCCTGAAACATTAATGTTTTTCAGATCTAGGAGCTCTTGGGCAGAGACTATGGTGTTTTCTAGGTATAGAATCATATCATCTGCAAATAGAGATAGTTTAGCTTCCTCTCTTCCTATTTGGATGACTTTTATTTCTTTCTCTTGACTGATTGCTCTAGCCAGGACTTTCATTACTACGTGAAATATTAGTGCTAAGAGCAGGCATCCTTATATGGTTTCGGTTGTCAAGGGAAATGCTTCCAGCTTTTTCCCATTTAGTATGATACTGGCTGTGAGTCTGTCACAGATGATTCTTATTACTTTGAGGCATACTCCTTCAGTGCCTAGTTTGTTGAGGGTTTTAACCTGAAGGGGTTTTGAATTTTATTTAAAGTCCTTCTTGCATCTATTGAGGTGCTCATGTGTTTTTCGTTTTTAGTTCTGTTTATGTGATAAATCACATTTGTTGATTTGCATATGTTGAACCAAACTTGCATCCCAAGGATAACTTCTACTTGATCATGGTGGATTAGCTTTTTGATGTGCTGCTGGATTCCGTTTGCTAGTATTTTGTTGAGGATTTTCACATCTATGTGCATCAGGGATACTGGCCTGAAATTTTCTTTTTTTGTTATATCTTTGCCAGGTTTTAGTATCAGGATGATGCTGGACTAATAGAATGAGTTAGGGAGGAGTATCTCCATCTCAATGTTTTGGAATAGTTTCAGGAGGAATAATACTAGCTCTTCTTTGCTTGTCTAGTATAATTCAGCTGTGAATCTGTTAGCTCATTGACTTTTTTGGTTAATAGGCTATTTATTACTGATTCAATTTTGATACTCATAATCAGCCTGTTCAGGGATTTAATTTCTTTTGGTTTCAATCTTGACAGGTTGTATGTTTACAGGAATTTATCAATTTCCTCTAGGTTTACTAGGCTGTGTGCATAAAGGTGTTCATAATAGTCACTGAGGGTTGTTTTTTATTTCTATGTGGTTGGCAGGAATGTCCTTGTTGTCATTTCTAATTGTGCTTATTTGGACCTTCTTTACTTTTTTACTTTTTTTATTAGTGTAGCTAATGGTCTGTCAATCTTATTTCTTCTTTCAAAAACTACCAAATGCGTTGATCTTTTCTATGGCTTCTTGCATCTCAATTTCCATCAGTTCAACTCTGGTTTTGGTTATTTCTTGTCTTTTGCTATCATTAGGATGCATTTTCTTTTGTTTCTCTAGTTACTGTATGTATTAGTCCGTTTTCATGCTGCTGATAAAGACATACACAAGACTGGGTAATTTATAAAGAAAAAAGGTTTCATGGACTCAAAGTTCCATGTGACTGGGGAGGTCTCACAATCATGGAAGAAGGAAAAAGGCACGACTTACATGGGGGCAAACAAGAGACAACTTGTGCAGGGAATCTTGCCTTTATAAAACTGTCAGATCTCACGAGACTTATTCACTATCTTGAGAACAGCACATGAAGGACCTGTGCCCATGATTCAATTACCTCCCACCAGGTCCCTCCAATGACACATGGGAATTGTGGGAGCAACAATTCAAAAGATGAGATTTGGGGACACAGCCAGACCATATCATTCTGTCCCTGACCCCTCCCAAATCTCATGTCCTCATATTTAAAAACCAATTATGCCTTCCAAACAGTCCCCCAAAGTCTTAACTCTTTTTAGCATTAACTCAAAAGTCCACAGTCCAATGTCTCATCTGAGACAAGGCAAGTCCCTTTTGCCTGTGAGCCTGTAAAATGAAAAGCAAGTTAGTTAATTCCTAGATACAGTGGGGATACAGGGATTGGATAAATACAGCCATTCTAAATGGGAGAAATTGGCCAAAGCAAAGGGCTACAGGCCCCATGCAAGTCCAAAATCCAGTGGGGCAGTCAAATCTTAAAGCTCCAAAATGATCTTTTTTGACTCCATGTCTCACATCCAAGTCATGCTGATGCATGAGGTGGGTCCACCCCTGTGGCTTTGCCAGGTACAACCTCCTTCCCAGCAGCTTTCACGAGCTGGCATTGAGGGTCTACAGCTTTTCCAGGTGCATGGTGCAGCCTGTCATTGAATCTATAATTCTGGGTCTGGAAGATGGTGGCCTTCTATTCACAGCTCCACTAGGAAGTGCCCCAGTGGGGACTCTGGGTTTGGACTTCAACCCCATATTTTCCGTCATGCACCGCCCTATCAGAGTTTCACCACGACGGCCCTGCCCCTGCAGCAAACTTCTGCCTGAACATCCAGGCATTCTCATACATCTTCTGAAATCTAGGTGGAGGTTCCCAAACCTCAATTCTTATCTTCTATGCAGCCACAGGACCAACACCACATGGGAGCTACCAAGGACTGGGGCTTTCACCCTCCAAAGCCACGGCCCAAGCTGTACCTTGGCCCATTTTAGCTGCAACTGGAGAGGCTGGGATGCAGGTAACCTCGACCGGTCCCAGGGTCCCCCTACTCTATGCACCATGTCCTGAAGCTACATAGAGTAGGGGGGCCCTGGACCTGGCCCAGGATACCAATTTTTTTCTTTTAGGCCTCCAGGCCTGTGATGGGAAGGGCTGTTGTGAAGGCCTTTGACATGCCCTAGAGACATTTTCTGCATTGTTTTGATGCTTTAAAATTTGGCTCGTTACTTAAGCAAATTTCTGCAGCTGGCTTGAATTTGTCCTGAGAAAATGGTTTGTTTTTTTTCTTTCTCATTGTCAGGCTGCAAATTTTCTGAACTTTTATGCTCTGCTTCCCTTATAAACCTGAATGCCTTTAACAGCACCCACGTCACCTCTTAAATGCTTTGTTGCTTAGAAATTTCTTCCACCAGATACACTAAATCATCTCTGTCAAGTTCAAAGTTCCACAAATCTCTAGGGCAGGGACAAAATACTACCAGTCTTTTTGCTGACACATAGCAGGAGTCACCTTTTACTCCAGTTCCCAACAATTTCCTCATCTCCATCTGAGGCCACCTCACCCTGGTTTTCATTGTCCATATCATTATTAGGATTTTGGTCAAAGCCATTCAACAAGTCTCTAGGAAGTTCCAAACTGTCCAACATTTTTCTCTCTTCTTCTGAGCCCTCCAAACTTTTCCAACCTCTGACTGATACCCTGTTCCAAAGTTTCTTCCACATTTTTCAGGTATTTTTTACAGCAGCACCCCACTCTACCAGTACCAATCTTACTGTATTTATTTATTTTCATGCTACCGATAAAGATACACCCAAGACTGGGTAATTTATAAAGAAAAAGAGGTTTAATGGATCATAGATTCACTGAAACCATCTCAGCAAAATTCTGACCAAGACAGTGAAAGAGATCCAACTTAAACAACTCCATCTTGCCACTAACCTCCAAGCTGTCCTTGTTTATTCCTGGGCATAGGCTAAACTAACTTTGGGAGGAACTTAGTTTATAGTTTAAAACAGAGACAGTGAAAGTCCTTTTCCAAAACAAACCTCCTTCTTTCCTGGGGACTAGACTACTAACATTAGCCACAAGATTAGGAATTATGGCTTTGAAGTCACACTGCTGAAGGCTACAAGATTCTGACCCTCCCTAAACTGATCCTAAAATCAGTGCTTGAGATATTTTGCAGACACTGCACTTGATGGATCAACCGGCACCCCTCAGATTGAGAAACTGGCCAATCTGATCTTGTGACCTTCCCACCCAGGAACTGACTCAGTGCAAGAAGACAGTGACATTGGATGATTTCATCTCCAACCCAACCAGTTAGCATTCCCTGACTCACTGCCCCTCATCCTGAATACTTGGGAGACATATTTGAGTAATAATAAAACTTTGGTGTCCTGCACAGCTGGCTCTGGGTGAATTACTCTTCCTCTAATGCAATTCCCCTGTCTAGAGAAATGGGCTCTAAGCAGCAGGTAAAGTGAACCCACTGGGCAGTTAAACCACATGGCTGGGGAGGTCTTGCAATCATGGTGGAAGGAAAAAGGCACATATTACATGGAGGCAGACAAGAAAGAATTTGTGCAGGGAAACTCCCCTTTATAAAACCATCAGATCTTGTGAGACTTATTCACTATTATGAGAATAGCACATTAAAGACCCACCACCATGATTCAATTACCTCCCACCGTGTTGCTCCTGTGACACACTGGAATTGTGGGAGCTACAGTTCAAGATGAGATTTGGGTGGGGACACAGACAAACCATAGCACTCTAGCTGTGATGTTAGGTTGTTAATTTGAGACCTTTCCAATTTTTTGATGTGGGCATTTAGTGCTGTAAACTTTCCTCTTAACACTGCTTTTCTTGTTTTCCTGATATTTTGGTATGTTATATCATTGTTCTCATTAGTGTCAAGGAATTTATTGATTTCTGCCTTAATTTCATTGTTTACCATAAAGTCATGTAGGAGCAGGTTATTTAATTTCCATGTAATTATATGGTTTTGAGTGATTTCTTTTTTTTGTATTGATTTCTATTTTTATTGCACTATGGTTGGTGAGTGTGTTTGGTAGGATTTCAGTTTTTCTGAATTTGCTGAGGGCTATTTTATGGGTGATTGTCTGGATGATTTTAGATTATGTATCATGTGCAGATAAGAAGAATGTATATTCTATTGTTTTGATGTGAAGAGTTATATAGATGTCTATTAGGCCCATTTGGTCATGTGTCAAGTTGAGGTTCCAAATATCTTCAATAGTTGTATGTCTCAATGATCTGCCAGTGGGCTGTTAAAATCTCCCACTATTATTGTGTGTCTATCTTGGCCTTTCTGTAGGTCTCTAAGAACTTGCTTTATGAATCTGGGTGCTCTTATGTTGGGTACATATATATTTAGGTGTTATTTTTTAATTGAAGCCTTGCCATTATGTAATGCTGTTCTTTGTCTTTTTTGATCATTTTTGGTTTAAAGTGTTTTTTGTCTGAAGTTAGAATAGCAACTCTTGCTTTTTTCTATTTTCCATTTGCTTAGTAGATTTTTCTCCTTTGAGCTGATGGGTATCATTGTATACGAGAGGGGTCTCTTAAAGGCAGTATAGCATTGGCTCTTGTTTCTTTATCCATATTGATACTCTGTGCCTTTTAATTGGGACATTGAAGCAATTTACATTCAAGGTTAGTATTGATATGTGTGGATTTGATCCTGTCATTGTGTTGTTAGCTGGTTATTATGCAGATTTAATTGTGTAGTTGCTTTATATTTAATAACATCAATGGTCTATGTACTTAAGTATGTTTTTTCCGTGGCCAGTAAAAGTTGTTTCTTTCCATATTTGGCACTCTTCTAAGGACCTCTTGTAAGGAAGCTCTGGTGCTAATAAATTTCCTTAGCATTTGTTTATCTGAAAGGGATCTTATTTCTCCTTTACTTATGAAGCTTAGTTTGGCTGGATATAAATTTTTAAACTGGAATTTCTTTTCTTTGAGAATGCTGAATATAGGCCCCGATCTCTTGTGGGGTTTCTGCTGAAAATTCCATTGTTAGTCTGATGGTGTTCCCTCTGTAGGTGATCTGCTCCTTCTTTCTCGCTGCCTTTAACATTTTTTCTTTCTTTTTAAACTTGCAGAATCTGATGACTATGTGTCTTGGGGATGGCCATCTTGTATAGTGTCTTGCAGGGGTCCTCTACATTTCCTGAATTTGAATTCAGGCCTCTCTAGTGAGGTCGGGGGGAATTTTCATGGATTATATCTTTAAATATATTTTCCAAGTTGCCTGCTTTTCCTCCTTCTCTTTCAGGGACATCAATAAGTCATATATTTGGTCTCTTTATATAATTCCATATTTCTCACAGGTTTTATTAATTTTCCTTTATTGTTTCTTCTTCACTTTTTCTGCCTGAGTTATTCTGGAGAACCAATCTGCAAGCTCTGAGATTCGTTCTTTAGCTTGGTTGATTCTACTGTTAATATATGGGATTGTATTATGGAATTGTTGAAGTGTGTTTTTTAGCTTTATCATATTAATTTTGTTCTTTATTTGAAAAGCCATTTTGTCTTTTATCTCATTCATCATTTTAATGTGTTCCTTATATTCCTTGTATTGGGTTTTGACCTTCTTCTGGATGCAGATAATCTTTGTTTCTATCCATATTCTGAATTCAATTTCTATTATTTCAGTCAGTTCAGCCCAGTTAAGAACCATTGCTGGGAAACTACTGTAAGTGTCTGAAAGTAGGGAAACACTCTGGCTTGTTGAGTTGCCAGTGTTCTTGTGCTGGGTCTTTCTCATATGTGTGGGCTGAAGTTCCTTCAATCTTTGAAATTGCTGTCCTTTGTTTGTTTTGTTTGTTTGTTTTTGTTGTTGTTGTTTTGTTTTGCTTCTGTTTTGTTTGATGCCCTGAGGGTTTTCATTGTGGTATAACGTGGGTTCAGTTGACTCAGTTTATTTCTGGAAGATTTTAGGGGCCAATGCTCAACTCGGCCCTCCTGGTCTGGGAGGCCCCACTAACTCTGGGAGGCTGGTACCAGACACCCAGCTTTGTTTTCTAGCCCCATTAGGAACCTGCTGTACTGGAAGGGCTGAGTTGTTCCCAGTCTCTTGGCCACCACACTCTGATGGGTGCTTCCAGCCAAAGCACTCTATTGGGACAGTGGCAGCAGGATACATGCTTGCTCACATATTGCCAACAGCCATGACAGCACTGAAGGGTGCATGCACATTGGCCCTAAATGTATATCTGTCCACAAGGAGCAGAAAGACTGTCATAAGCCATGCCACCACTGCCACTGCTGCACCCATTGTATGCCAGGCCCCATCATAGCCATTTGTCCGCTGTTGCCTATTGCAGCTGCTATGTCTGCCAGTCCCTGCCACAGCCACCATGTGGGCCAGTAACCACCTCAGCCATCTGCAGATATTTCCCATCCTGTATTTTATTTATCCAATTATCTGTTGATGCACAAAACTTGGCTACTGTAAATAGTGCTGCAATGAACATGAGCATGTAGACATCTTTTTGAGAAACTGAGTTCAAGCGTTTTGGGTAAATTCCAGGAAGTGAGATTTCTGGGTCATATGGCAATTCTATTTTCAGTTTTTTGAGAAACTTCCTTAATATTTTCCATAATGGCTATACTAATTTTATTCCAACCAACTATATGCAATGTTACCTTTTCTCCATATCCTTGCCAACACTTTTCTTTCTATGTTTTGTCAATAGCCATTCTGGCAAGTATGAGATGATATTTCATTATGGTTTTAATTTGTATTTCCTTAAGGATTGTAAATGTTGAGCATTTTAAAAATATTTGCTGAACATTTGTATGTTTTATTTTGAGAAATATTTATTCAGGTCCCTTGCATATTTTTAAATATTTTTTTCTTTTTCATTCTTGTTTTGTTTTCTTGCTATTGAGTTATCTGAACTCTTTGCTATTGAATTGTTAATAGTTTAAATATTAACTTACTTTATGTATGACTTGCAAATATTTTTTCCCAATCCATAGGTTGTCTCTGCAAACAGTTAATAGTTTCTTTTACTGTGCATAGCTTTTCAGTTTGATGTAATCCTATTTGCCTATCTTTGCTTTTGTTGTGTGTACTTTTGGGGCCAAATTAAAAAAATATATGGACTACACTAATGTCATGTATTTTTTTCCCATATTTTCTTCTATTAGTTCTAGAATTTCTGGTCTTACTTTCAAGCTTTTAATCCCCTTTGAGTTAATATTTGTACATGGTGTTAAATAAAGAGCCAATTTCATTCTTCTGCTTCTGGAAGTTTAGTTTTTCAATCACCATTTATTGAAAAGACTCTCCTTTTCTCCTTGAAATTTGACTACATGTATAAATTTATTTCTGGGCTATTTTGTTCCATAGATTGAAGTGGTTTTTTATTTTTATTTTTCGCCAGTACAATGCTGTTTTAGTTACTATAGCTTTGTATTATAGTTTGAAATCAGGTAGTGTGATTCCTCCAGCTATGTTCTTTTTGTTCATAATTGTCTCAACTATTTGGGAATTTTTGTGGTTCAATATAAATTTTAGGATTTCTTTTTCTATTTCTATGAAAATAATATTAGAATTTTGATAAGGATTGGATTGAATCTGTAGATGCTTTGAGTAGAATAAATGTTTTAACAATATTAATTTTCTGATCCATGAACATGGGATATCTTTCTTTTTATTTATGTCTTCTTCAAATTCTTTTATCAAGATCTTATACTTTTTAGTGTACAGGTCTTTACCTCCTTGGTTAAACTTATTCCTAAGTGTTTAATTTTTTAAGTGTTGTAAACAGAATTGTTCTCTTCTCTTTCATGTATGAAAACATTGTTAATTATTGTGTGTTTATTTTGTACCCTACAAATTTACTGGGTTAGTTTATTAGATCTATCAGTTTTTTGGTGGCAGTTGTAGGATTTTTTGTGTATAAGATTATGTCACCAGCAAAAACTGAAAATTTCACTTTATCATTTTCTATTTGAATGCCTTTTATTTTATTTTCTTGCCTCATTATTCTGGCAAGAACTTCTATACTATGTTGAATAGAAGAAACAAGAGTGAGCATTCTTGTTTTGCTCCAGATCTTAAAGTAAAGGCTTTCGATTCTTCACTATTTAGTACATGTTAACTGTGTGATTATCTTACGTGAACATTACTGTGTTAAGGTAGAGTCTTTCTATATGTAATTTGATACAAACATAGATTTCTTTGATACATAATTTCTTCTGTACATAGATTTTTTTCTATACATAATTTGGTGAGAGTTTATATCCTGAAAATAAGTTAAATATTGTCAAATGCTCTTTCTGCATCTAATGAGATGATCATATTGCCTTTCTCCTTCATTCTGTTAATGTATTATAGTTGTGGGATCTGTGCTTACATATTCTGTTTCATCTTTGATATTGTACATTTATGTCTTTTCTGTATTTTTTGGTAATTCTTATTAGAATTTTTTTAAATTTTTTTATTCCTTTATTTATAGGTTTTTGGGGAACAGGTGGTGTTTGGTTACATGAATAAGTTCTTCAGTGGTGATTTCTAAGACCTTGGTGAACCTATCACCCAAGCAGTGTACACTGTACCCAATGTGTAGTATTTTATCTCTCATCAACTACTAGCCTTTTGCCCAAGTCCCCAAACAAAGTCCAATGTATAATTCTTATGCTTTTGCATCCTCATAGCTTAGCTCCCACATATGAATGAGAATATACAATGTTTGGTTTTCCATTCCTGAGTTACTTCACTTAGAATGATAGTTTCCAATTCCACCCAGGTTGCTGCAAGTGTCATTATTTTCATTATTTTATTTCTTTCTATGGCTGAGTAGTATTTCCATGATAGTAGTAGTAATATTTCACATTATCTTTATCCACTCATTAATTGATGGGCAATGGGACTGGTTCCATATTTTTGCAATTGCAAATTTTGCTGCTATAAACATGGTTGTTTAAGTATCTTTTTCATATAATGACTTCTTTTCCTCTGGGTAGATACCACGTAGTGGGATTGCTGGATCAAATGGGAGATCTACTTTTAGTTCTTCAAGTCTTTTTCATATAAAGACTTCTCTTTCTCTGGGTAGACACCAGGTAGCGGGATTGCTGGATCAAATGGTAGATCTACTATTATTTCTTTAAGGAATCTCCACAATGTTTCTCATAGTGGCTGCACTAGTTTACATTTCCACAAACAATGTAAAAGTGTTCTTTTTTAACTGTATCCATGCCCATATCTACTATATTTTTTTCAAGGTTTAATTGCCTTTTAATTGCCTTATCTCTTAATTCCATTTATATATGTGTGTGTGTGTGTGTATATGTGTGTGTGTGTGTGTGTGTGTATATATTTTATATACTTTAAGTTCTGGGATATATATATACTTTAAGTTCTGGGATACATGTGCAGAACCTGCAGGTTTGTTGCATAGATATACATGTGCCATGGTGGTTTGCTGTACCTATCAACTTGTCATCTACATTAGGTATTTCTCCTAATACTATCCCTCTGCTTGCCCCCCAACCTCCAACAGGCCCCAGTGTGTGATGTTCCCCTCCCTATGCCCATATGTTCCCATTTTTTAGTTCCCACTTATGAGTGACAACATGCGGTGTTTGGTTTTCTGGTCCTGTGTTAGTTTGCTGAGAATGATGGTTTCCAGCTTCATCCATGACCCTGCAAAGAACATGAACTCATTCTTTTTTATGGTTGCATAGTATTCCACTCTGTATATCTGCCACATTTTATTTATCCAGTCTAACATTGATGGGTATTTGGGTTGGTTCCAAGTCTTTGCTATTGTGAACAGTGCTGCAATAAACATATGTTTGCATGTAACATCATAATAGAATGATTTATAATCCTTTGGGTATATACCCAGTGATGGGGGGCTGCTGGGTTAAATGGTATTTTTACTTCTAGATCCTTGAGGAATTGCCACACTGTCTTCCACAATGGTTGAACTAATTTACACTCGCACCAACAGTGTAAAAGCATTCTTATTTCTCCACATCCTCTCCAGCATTTGTTGTTTCCTGACTTTTTAATGATTGCCATTCTAACTGGTGTGAGATGGCATTTCATTGTGGTTTTGATTTGCATTTTTCTAATGACCAGTGATGATTAGTGTTTTTTCATGTTTCTTGGCCACATAAACGTCTTCTTTTGAAGAGTGTCTGTTCATATCCTTCACCCACTTTTTGATGGAGTTGTTTTTTTCTTGTAAATTTGTTTAATTTTCTTGTAGATTCTGGATATTATCCCTTTGTCAGATGGATAGATTGCAAAAATTATCTCCCATTCTGTAGGTGGTCTTTTCATTCTGATGAAAGTTTCTTTTGCTGTGCAGAAGCTCTTTAGTTTAATTAGATCCCATTTGTCAATTATGGATTTTGTTGCAATTGCTTTTTAGTCATGAAGTCTTTGCCCATGCCCATGTCCTGAATGGTATTGCTTAGGTTTGCTTCTAGGGTTTTTATGGTTTTAGGTCTGATTTTAAATCTTTAATCCATCTTGAGTTAATTTTTGTATAAGGTATAAGGAAGGGGTCCAGTTTCAGTTTTCTGCATATGACTATCCAATTTTCCCAACACCATTTATTAAATATGGAATCTTTCACCATTGCTTGTTTTATAGTCAGGTTTGTCAAAGATCAGATGTTTGTAGATGTATGGTGTTATTTCTGAGGCCTCTGTTTTGCTCCATTGTTCTATATATCTGTTTTGGTAACAATACCATGCTGTTTTGGTTACTGTAGCCTTGTAGCATAGTTTGAAGTCAGGTAGTGTGATGTCTCCAGCTTTGTTCTTTTTGCTTAGGATTTTCTTGGTTATGTGGGCTCTTTTTTGGTTCCATATGAAATTTAGAGTAGTTTTTTCTAATTCAGTGAAGAATGTCAGCTGTAGCTTGATGGGAATAGCATTGAATCTATAAATTACTTTGGGCAGTATCAACATTTCCACGATATTGATTCTTCCTATCCATGAGCATTGAATGTTTTTCCTTTTGTTTGTGTCTTCTCATATTTCCTTGAGCAGTGATTTGTAGTTCTCCTTGAAGAGGTCCTTCACATCCCTTGTGAGTTGTATTCCTAAGTATATTATTCTCTTTGTAGCAATTCTGAATGGGAGTTTGCTCATGATTTGGCTCTCTGTTTGTCCGTCATTGGTGTGTATGAATTCTTGTGATTTTACACATTGATTTTGTATCCTGAGACTTTGCTGAAGTTGCTTATCAGCTTAAGGAGATTTGGGGCTTAGACAATAGAGTTTTCTAAATATACAATCATTTCATCTGCAAACAGAGATCATTTGACTTCCTCTCTTCCTATCTGAATACCTTTATTTCTTTTTCTTGCCAGATTGCCCTGGCCAGAACTTCCAACACTATGTTGAATAGGAGTGGTAAGAGAGGGCATCCTTGTCTTGTGCCGGTATTCAAAAGGAATGCTTCCAGCTTTTGCCCATTTGGTATGATATTGCCTGTGGATTTGTCATAAATAGCTCCTATTATTTTGAGATATGTTCCATCAATACCTAGTTTATTGAGTGTTTTTAGCTTGAAGGGGTGTTGAATTTTATTGAAGGCCTTTTCTCCATCTATTGAGATAATTATATGGTTTTGTCATTGGATCTGTTTATGTGATGGATTACATTTACTGATTTGCATATGTTAAACCAGCCTTGCATCCCAGAGATGAAGCCAACTTGATCATTGTGGATAAGCTTTTTAATGTGCTGCTGGATTCGGTTTGCCAGTATTTTATTGAGGATTTTTGCATCGATGTTCATCAGGAATATTGGCCTGAAATTTTCTTGTCTTGTTATGTCTCTGCTAGGTTTTGGTATCAGAATGATGCTGCCCCTATAAAATGAGTTAGGGAGGAGTCCTTTGTTTTCTATTGTTTGGAATAGTTTCAGAAGAAATGGTACCAGCTCCTCTTTGTACCTCCAGTAAAATTTGGCTGTGAATCCATATGGTTCTGGGTTTTTTTTGGTTAATAGGCTATTAATTACTATCTCAATTTCAGAACTTGTTATTGGTCTATTCAGCAATTTGACTTCTTCCTGGTTTAGTCTTGAGAGGGAGTATGTGTCCAGGAATTTATCCATTTCTTCCAGATTTTCTAGTTTATTTGCTTACAGGTGTTTATAGTATTATCTGATGGTAGTTTGTATTTCTGTGGGATCAGTGGTGATCTCCCCTTTACCATTTTTTATTGTGTGTATTTGATTCTTCTCTCTTCTTTATTAGTCTAGCTAGAGGTCTATTTATTTTGTTAATCTTTTTTAAAAACCATCTCCTGGATTCAATGATTTTTTGAAGGATTTTTCATGTCTCTATTTCCTTCAGTGCTTCTCTGATCTTAGTTATTTCTTGTCTTCTGCTAGCTTTTGAATTTGTTTGCTCTTGCTTCTCTAGTTCTTTTAATTATCATGTTAGGGTGTCGATTTTAGATCCTTCCCACTTTCTTCTGTGGGCATTTAGTGCTATAAATTTTTCTCTAAACACTGCTTTAGCTATATCCCTGAGATTCTTGTATGTTGTGTCTTTGTTCTCACTGGTTTCAAAGAACTTATTTATTTCTGCCTTAATTTTGTTGTTTATCCAGTAGTCATTCAGGAGCAGGTTGTTCAGTTCCATGTAGTTGTGCAGTTTTTAGTGCGTTTCTTAATCCTGAGTTCTAATTTGATTGCACTGTGGTCTGATTGTTATGATTTCTATTCTTTTGCATTTGCTGAGGTGTTTTACTTCCAATTATGTGGTCGATTTTAAAATAAGGGCTATGTGGTGCTGAGAAGAATGTATATTCTGTTGATTTTGGGTGGAGAGTTCTGTAGATATCTATTAGGTCTGCTTGGTCCAGAGTTGAGTTCAAGTCTTGAATATCCTTGTTAATTTTCTGTCTTGTTGATCTGTCTAATATTGACAGTTGAGTGTTAAAGCCTCCCACTATTATTGTGTGGGAATCTAAGTCTCTTTGTAGGTCCCTAAGAATTTGCTTTATGAATCTGGGTGCTCCAGTATTGGGTGCATATATATTTAGGTTAGTTAGCTCTTCCTGTTGAATTGATCCCTTTACCTTTACGTAATGCTCTTGTCTTTTTTGATCTTTGTTTGTTTGAAGTCTGTTTTATCAGAGACTAGAATTGCAAACCCTGCTTTTTTTTGCTCTCCATTTGCTTGGTAAATATTCCTCCATCATTTTATTTTGAGCCTTTCTGTGTCTCTGCACATGAGATGGGTCTCCTGAATACAGCACACCAATGGGTCTTGACTCTTTATCAAATTTGCCAGTCTGTGCCTTTTAATTGGGGTATTTAGCCTGTTTATATTTAAGGTTAACATTGTTATGTGTGAATTTGATCCTGTCATTATGATGCTAACTGGTTATTTTGCCCATTAGTTGATGCAGTTTCTTCACCGTGTCAACGGCCTTTACATCTTGGTTTATTTTTGCAGTGGCTGTACCAGTTTTTCCTTTCCATATTTAGTGCTTCCTTCAGGAGTTCTTGTAAGGCAGGCCTGGTGGTGACAAAATCCGTCAACATTTGTTTGTCTATAAAGGATTTTATTTCTCCTTCGCTTATGAAGCTTAGCTTGGATGGACATGAAATTCTGGGTTGAAAATTCTTATCTTTAAGAATGTCGAATATTGGCCCCTATTCTCTTCTAGCTTGTAAGCTTTCTGCAGAGAGATCCACTGTTAGTCTGATGGGCTTCCCTTTGTGGGTAACCCAATCTTTGTGGGTAACTCAATCTTTGTGGGTAACCCAATCTTTCTCTCTGGCTGCCCTTAACATTTTTTCCTTCATTTCTACCTTGGTGAATCTGACGATTATGTGTCTTGGTGTTGCTCTTCTTGAGGAATATCTTTGTGATGTTCTGTGTATTTCCTGAATTTGAATGTTGGCCTGTCTTGCTAGTTTGGGGAAGTTCTCCTGGATAATATCCTAAAGTGTGTTTTCCAACTTGGTTCCATTCTCCCTGTCACTTTCAGGTACACCAATCAAACATAGGTTTGGTCTTTTCACATAGTCCCATATCGCTTGGAGGCTTGTTTTTTCCTTTTCATTCTTTTTTCTCTAATCTTGTCTTCATGCTTTATTTCATTAAGTTAATCTTCAATCTCTGATATCCTTTCTTCTGTTTGATTTATTCAGCTATTGATATTTTTGTATGCTCCATGAAGTTCTCGTGCTGTGTTTCTCAGCTCTGTCAGGTCATTTATTTTCTTCTATAAACTGGTTATTCTAGTTAGCAATTCTTCTAACCTTTTTTCAAGGTTTGTAGTTTTCTTGCATTGGGTTAGAACATGCTTGTTTAGCTTGGAGGAGTCGGTTATTACCCACCTTCTGAAGCCTACTTCTGTCAATTTGTCAAACTCATTCTCTGTCCAGTATTGTTCTCTTGCTGGTGAGGAGTTGTGATCCCTTTAAGGAAAAGAGGCATTCTGGTTTAATTTTTACCCTTTCTCTATTGGTTTTTCCTCATCTTTGTGCATTTATCTACCTTTGATTTTTGCTGTTGGTGACCTTTGGATGGAGTTTTTGCATGGTCATCCTTTTTGTTGATGTTGTTGATGTTGATGCTATTGTTTTCTGTTTGTTAGTTTTCCTTCTAACAGTCAGGCTGCTCTTCTGCAGGTCTGCTGGAGTTTGCTGAGGGTGCACTCCAGACCCTGTTTGTCTGGGTATCACCAGCAGAGGCTCTAGAACAGCAAAGGTTGCTGCCCACTCCTTTCTCTGGAGGCTTCGTCTCAGAGGGGCACCTGCCAGATGCCAGACGGAGCTCTTCTGTATGAGGTATCTGTCGACCCCTGCTGGGAGGTGTCTCCCCATCAGGAGGCATGGGGGTCAGGGACCCACTTGAGGAGGCAGTCTGTCCCTTAGCAGAGCTCAAGCACTGTGCTGGGAGATCTGGTGCTCTCTTCAGAGCAGGCAGGCAGGAATGTTTAAGTCTGCTGAAGCTGCGCCCACAGCCTCCCCTCCCCGCAAGTACTCTGTCTCAGGGAGATGGGAGTTTTATTTATAATCCCCTAAGGATCCTGCCTTTTTTTCAGAAATACCCTGATGAGAGAAGAAATCTAGAGAGGAAGTCTGGCTACATTGGCTTTGCTGCACTGTGGTGGGCTCCACCCAGTCCAAACTTCCCAGTAGCCTTGTTTACACTGTGAGGGGAAAACCACCTACTCAGTAATGGTGGACACCCTTCCCCTCACCAAGCTTAAGCATCCTGGTTCGACTGCAGACCTGCTGTGCTGGCAGTGAGAATTTCAAGCCAGTGAATCTTAGCTTGCTGGGCTCCATGTGGGTAGGATCCGCTGAGCAAGACCACTTGGCTCCCTGGCTTCACCCCCCTTTGCAGGGCAGTGAATGGTTCTGTCTCACTGGTGTTCCAGGCACTTCTGGGATATGAAAAAATAACTCCTGTAGCTAGCTTTGTGTCTGCCCAAATGGCTGCCCAGTTTTGTGCTTGAAATCCAGGGTCCTTGTGGTGTAGGTATCTGAGGGAATCTCCTGGTCTGTGGGTTGCAAACACTGTGGGAAAGACATAGTATCTTGGCCAGATAGCATCGTCCCTCATGACTGGTCCCTCACAGCTTCCCTTGGCTAGAGGAGAGAGTTTCCTGACCCCTTGCACTTCCTGGGTTAGGTAACACCCCACCCTGCTTCTTCTCGCCCTCTGTGGGCTGCACCCATTGTCTAACTAGTCCCAATGAGATAAATTGGATACCTCAGTTGGAAATGAAGAAATCACCTGCCTTCTGTGTTGGTCTTGCAGAGCTGTTCCTATTTGGCCATCTTGCCTGGGCTTTTCATTTTTTGATTATGACCATTCTTGCAGAAGTGAGGTGGTATCACATTTCAGTTTTGATTTGTATTTCCCTGATAATTAGTGATGTTGAGCATTTTTCCATATGCTTGCTGGCCATTTGTACATCTTTTAATAATTGTCTATTCATGTCCTAAGCATACCTTTTGATGGGATTATTTGTTTTTTTCTTGCTTATTTGTTTGAATTTTTTGTAGATGGCATCCAAATCAGTAAAGATGAAGTCAAACTATCACTATTTGTTGAGATATGATCATATACCTAGAAAACCCTAAAGACTCATCTAAAAATCTCTTAGAACTGGTAAATTAATTCAGCACAGTTTCAGGATACAAAATTAATGTATGCAAATTAATAGCTCTGCTAAACACCAACAGCAACCAAGCTGAGTATCAAATCAAGAACTCAACCCCTTTCACAATAGTTGCAAGAAAAAAATAAAATACAAAAATTAGAAATATACCTAACCAAGAATGTGAAAGACCTCTACAAGTAAAACTACAAAACACTGCTGAAAAGAAATCATAGATGATACAAATGGTAACATATCCCTTGTACAGGGATGAGTAGAATCAATATTGTGAAAATAACCATACTGCCAAAAGCAGTCTACAAATTCAATGAAATTCTCATCAAAATACCACTATCATTCTTCGCAGAACTAGGAAAAAACAATCCTAAAATTCATATGGAGCCTAAAAAGTGCCTGAATAGCCAAAGCAAGACAAATCAAAAAAGAACAAATCTGGAGGCATCACATTACTCAACTTCAAACTATACTATAAGGCCATAGTCGCCAAAACAGCATGGTACTAGTATGAAAATAGGCACATAGACCAATGGAACAGAACCACAAACTCAGAAATAAAGCCAAATCATTACAGACAAATGATCTGTGACAAAGCAAACAAAAACACAAAGTGGGGGAAAGGACACCCTATTCAACAAATGGTGCTGGGATAATTGACAAGCCACATGGAGAGGAATGAAACTGGATTCCCATCTCGCACCTTATACAAAAATCAACTCAAGATGGATCAAAGACTTAAATCTAAGACCTGAAACCATAAAGATTCTAGAAGATAACATTGGAAAAACCCTTCCAGACATTGTCTTAGGAAAGACTTCATGACCAAGAATCCTATAGCAAATGTAACAAAAACAAATATAAATAGATGAGACTTAATTAAACTAAAAAGCTTCTGTACAGCAAAAGAAATAATAAGTAGAGTTAACAGACAACCCACAGAATGGGAGAAAATCAGAATCTATACATCTAACTTAGAGGTTTCTCAATTGAACTAAATTAAGAAAAACTAGCTCTTTGTATTACTTATTTTCTGTTTTTTTCAACTTCCTTGTTTTTGTGGCTGTTTTGTTTTTATTGTGGTAAGACATAAATAACCTAAAATTTATCATTTAACCATTTTTAAGTATACAGTTCATGGCACTAAGTGCATCAACATTATTGTGCAACCATCATCACATCCAACTTCAGAACTTTTTCATTTTACCGAAGTGAATCTTCATACCTAATAAAGAATATCATCTCATTCTTTCTCCCCTAGTAATATGGAAACTACCACATTACTTTCATTCTCTATAAATTTGATAACTCAAGGCAATTCATATAAATGGAATCATACAATATTTGTCCTTCTCTGACTGGCTTTTTTCACTTAACATAATGTCATCAAGATTCATCCACGTTGTAATATATGTTCAAATTTTCAACTTCTGAATTTATACTCTTTATTATTTTCTTCTTTCTTTCTGCTTGCCCTGTGTTTTTTCCCTCCTTCTTCTTCATCTAGATTCTCCAGATGGGAGCTTATTGATTTGAGCCATGTTTCCTCATTTTCTAATGTAAGCATTTAGTGCTGTATAATATAAGCACTTAGAGCTCTTAGAACTCAGAAGCTGTGCCTCCAAGTATTGATATGGTGTGTTTTCACTGTTGCTCATTTTAATTATTTTAAACATTTCCTTGGAGACTTTCTGCTTGATTTATAGATTATTTATAAGTGTGTTACTTAGCTTCTGAGTATTGGGAAATTATTCTGCTATTTTTCTGTTATTAATTTCAAGTTTAATTCTATTGCAATCATAGAATACTCCGTGTGATTTCATTTTTATTTTAATTTGTCAAGGGATATTTTATGGCCAAGGAAATTGTCTATATTGGTACACTTTTTATAGGTGCTTGAAGAGATTCTGTATTCCACTAATGCTGGGTGAGTTTTCTATAAGTGTTGATTAGATCCAGTGAGTTGATGAATTTTTTGTATCTTTAGTGTTTTTATTGCCTAGTTTTTCTAACAACTGTTAAGGGAGTAATAATGAAGCCTCCAAACATAATTATGGATTTGCCTATTTGTCTTCCAGGTTCTATCAATTTTGCTTCATATATTTTGCAGCTATGTTGTTTGGCACATATATATTTAAAATATGTCTTTTTTGGTAGATTGATTCCTTTATAATTATGTCATATTCTTATCTGTCTCTGGTAATTTTCTGTGCTTGAATAACTTCTTTATTCAACATTAATATGTCCACTTTTTTCTTTAAATTAATGTTTGCATGACATATCTTTTTCCAATTATTACATTTCAAATTTTCTATATTATATTTGATATGAATTTTTTGTAGACAACATATGATTGGGCTTAATTTTTTTAAATACAATCTACCCATTTTTTTCTTAATTACTATATTTAGACTGTTGGTATTTAATGTAATTATTGAAGTATTAGAGCTTAAGTCAGTCATTTGATTTTTTTATTGTTTCTCTGTTTCATTTATCTTGTCTTCCTGTGAACTACTTAAATATTTCTTAGAGTTCCATACTGGTTTTATATAGTATATTTTAGTATATCTCTTTGTTTAGCTTTATTAGTGGTTGTTTTCTATATGACACCATACCTACATAAATTATCATGAACTTCTGGTATTGCTGTTTTACAATTCAAGTGATGTATGAAAATCTTACCTCATTTTATATAGCTTTACCTTTAACATTTATAATATAATTATCTTAAATATTTTTTGTACAGACATTGAGAACCACAATAAAAAGTGTTTTTGTTTCAAGTGCCAAAAATAATTTTAAAAACTCAAGAGAAGAAAAATGTGCTTACTCATACTTTTATTCTTTCTGTTGTTCTCTTCCTATTTGATGTTCTAAGCTTCCTTTCTCTACCTTTTCCTTTGTTTCAAAAAATTTTTAGTCTTTCTTAAACAAAGGCTTTTGATGAAAATTCCCTTAGTTTTTTCTTCATCTGAGAATGTCTTGATTTCCTTTTTATTCCTGAATAATATTTTTGCTGAATGTGGAATTTGGATTAGTAGTTATTTTCTTTAGGCACTTAAAATATACTGTGTCACTTCTTTTTGGCCTCTATGATTTATAGTGAGAAACCCACTGCCATCCAAATTCTTTCCTTCTTTCTTCCTTCCTTCCTTCCTTCCTTCCTTTCTTTCTTTCTTTCTTTCTTTCTCTTTCTTTCTTTCTTTCTTTCTTTCTTTCTTTCTTTCTTTTCTTTCTTTCTTTCTCTTTCTTTCTTTCTTTCTCTCTTTCTTCTTTCTTTCTTTTTCTCTTTCTTTTCTTTTTCTTTTGTCTCTCTCTCTCTCTTTATTTCTTTCTCCTCTTTCCTTTTTTTCTTTCTGTGTAAGGTATTCCTTTTTTCCTGGTTCAAATTTTTTTCTTTGTTTTAGTGTTCCACATTTTGTCTATGTTGTTTTGGCATGGATTTATTTGTCGTTATCCACTATAAAGTATACTTCGGTTCTTAACTCCAGGTTTCTATTTTTGGTCTAATATTGGAAAGTTTCTAGTCATTATATCTTCAAGTATTTTTTCAGTCAACCCTCTTTCTCATCTTCTTCCAAAACTTCAGTGACATGAAGCTTAGATTATTTGTTATTATGCTACAGGTCCCTGAGGCTCTATTTCTCTTTTTTTCTGTTTATTTTTTGTCTTTTTTAAAAGGTGATTAATTTATATTGTTCTATCTTCAAGTTCATTGTTTATTTCCTTTATCCTTCTATTCTGCCTTTATCCTCATCCATACAGTTATTTACTGTGGTTATAATAATTTTCCACTTTAAAATTTCTATTTGATTCTTCTTTATATCTTGTTTTCTTTGTAGACACTTTCTATTTTCCCATGGTTGCAAACATTTTTTTGCTGCTCATTGTGCATTTTGTCATATTAACACGTTAAAAATACCCCCTTGTAAATTGGCCCTATGTTGTTTATTTTTTTTTACAACAGGCTTGGACCTGTTTGCTCAAAAGCCTACCAGGTCCTAACTTAAATTTTTACACATTCAATTGTTTTAAATGGCCCCCCAAAAATATTTTTAGTCATTTATAGCCTTCCAGCTTTGCATATCTCCTTGAAATTGCACTGGATTTTTTCTGACATTGCTCTGACAGAGGAAGAGTGGGTCATACTCAGGTGGAGACACAAACTAACTTTCCCCACTCAGAATTGGTTGACATCTAAGGAGTATTTCCATCTTATTGTGGGGTGGAGTTCAGAGTTCTGGCTCACCGGCAGATCTTTGCTTAGAGGAAGGGGCTTGGAAAAAGCATGAATGCAGTATTAGTACACTTGTAGCATTCACTGACCTCATGGAAGTGGCTTTATTACTGCTGGGCAGTGGTAAAGGCCCTGGCTGTCTGCCAGGCTTCCTTTGACACCACTACTCTTAGCAGGGTGAGGAGGGATAGAATGTCATGGCTTTCTACTCAACCTTCTCGGATACTATCTTGGTAGATGGGTTGGGACACATGTTACAACATGGTAAGTGTGGAACTCTTGGCTTCACTCTCAAGCTTTGCTTATGTGACTGGAAGGGAGACATATTGTTCTATGTGGCATTTCATTGGAATAGAGCACTTATTGTCTTAAAGACTTTGGTCTTATTAGCATGGTTTTTTGGGGCTTTGTTTTTGTAGGAACCTGTTAGTGTTTCTGGGTGCCAGCTTCTTCACCTTCAAGCTTGGGTTATATGAGAAAAAAAAAAAACAACCACCCGGTAAACTCATCATTGTGCCATTTCTTGAGGCCTGAGGGCTCTAGCTTGCCTTCTTATTTAAACTTTTTAGATTAGTTTAGATTATTATTATTGTTGTTGTTTTATGTATGATCACAATAGTCGGAGAAATATGGAGGAAGGCATTTAGTCCATCTCTTCATCTTCCCAGGTCAAAAGTGTCTATTTTCTTTTAAGATCAAAATATAAATACTTTACCGGTGAATTTTCCTAATTACTTTACTTCCCTTGACGATGATGCTCCTTTCTTTTTAGTTTCCCAGGCACTTTTACTGTAACTTTTTTCTTTCTTTTTATCACTGTCTCTACAAACTAGACATGTTAAATTATGAAACTCCTCAGGGCACATGCTTTGCCTTATTCCTTTCTATGTTCTTTCGTGCCTGGCTAAATAGTTTGAATTTGGTAGCCAATGGTTGTTTTGTTTCAATTAATGAATGTTTAAATTAATGAATGTATGGTATAGGCTCTCAAGATTATTTTAAGACTCAGGTCTCACCTTCTCCAGAGAGGTTTCTATGAAATCTCTAAACTGAGATAATCCCCTACAAAAGACTCTCACACTATCTTTTATGTCTCTCTATCATTGTTTCACTTTATCATCATTGAGTTTTACCCCTCTATCACACAGTAAGAACAATATTTTTGACTCTTCCATTTCTTATGGACACCATTGGTCATAGATTAAAAGTTGTGTGAAATAACCATGTTGGTTTTGACTTATGGTTCACAGGTATTTCTAGAACTTAGCGTAGTCATTGAGTACAGAGTAGATACCAATAAAATTTGTTGACTAAATGAATGAATTTTTAAAAATTAATAAAAAGATAATAGAAAGTCAACATATTGTGAATGATAGCATGTATCTGTTGCATATGCTACATGAACAAAATTTATCCAATTTTCCTTCTCACAAATGTCAAATTTTCCTCTCTAATTTCACAATTTTTGAATTACACATTTTTTCTAATTACATTAACATAAGTTTTGCTGCATAACTTTTTTCATGAACCATTTCAGCAGCTGAATAGTGAACTTGTTTGTGAGTTACCTATATAGATTTTTTCCAAATGCCTTCAATAATTTTATTGTGTATCTGGATTTGTTTATGAGATAGAAAGAAATGAAAAGAGAGAGCTTTTTCATGAGACAAGTGTCAGTAAACCAAATCTGAAGGTCTCTATGGAAGACTAATCTATATATTTCACTTTACTTACTAGTCTTCTAAATGGCCAACCTATTGTTATTCCCTTTATAACTCAATAATGCTTCATAAATGATTTCTTAATATTTTATCTCCAAGTCTGAAATGCATATCGAAAGCTCCAAACCCCACAATAATAAAATATTCTAGAAGAGTGATTTTAAGTGTTATAAGATTCCCATATGAACACACATCTACTAAATTTATAGTTAAATTATTTAACCTCTTTTTTTGCATGTTAGTTTTCTAAGTGTGGCTGAGAGTGAGGCAGGTAAAAATATCTGTGAGGCAAAAATATTTCTTCTTTACACAAAGCCCCATGGAGAGATAGTAAATGACAAAATGTTATAGAAGGAGAGCAAAAAGATTCTTTTGAAATCACAATGTCACAAAAAAAAGAAGCAGATTCTGTTCCCCTAACATAATCCATTGACAGTCATTCTATTATATGAAATTGAGGTTCGGCCTTGGTATTTGACATCTGCTCTGGAGGTTATATTTTAGAAGCTCTATCTTAAACATATGGGACAGGTGAAATATAGATGTTTTGATATTGCCATAGTCTTTATAACATACATATCCTACTAGGTTCCATGAAGTTGGAACATATGAATTGTATGTGAAAAAATAAAGATGGCATTTTCCAAAGAATCATTTATACCGATGTAACATTCTACACAATTTTAAAAAAACACAGTTTAGAAAAGAAGAAAAAATTCATCTGAAATTTGTATCTTATTAGAGCTGATTTGTGAAAGAATTAAAGAAGATTATTATTCAGCATTTAACTACTGGAAACTATGGGCACAGCTTGTATTAAATAATCAGGAAAATGCAATTAAATAGTAGCAATCTTTTCTCAGCCCAAGGTATCTTTGTTTTCAGCATGTCACAACCACATCTACTTATAAGTATTGATTAGTTACTAGCAGACCCTAAAGATTGTAACAAATATTCTTTATATGATTTATATTATAACATTGCCTTATCTATTGATAGGCGTCCATTTAAAGATAGCTATATGTTTCTGCAAATATTGTAATGAATACTGAGGGTTGCTTTAAAACACATGAATTGTATATTTACTACTTGAGAATGTAGTCTATATAAAGTCAGAAACAATTAGGTAAACACATATTTTCTTCAGCCTTTGCTACAGGTTTTGGCACTACACAGGGTATAAGCTCTTATCTAAGTCAAGAGACCTATTTTAATCATTAATGGAATCCCTGGCATTTCACTCAGTTCCAGACAAAAAGTTGGTGCTCAATGAAAGTGATTTGTTTAATTTAACCAAATTGACGAATACGGCTGTTTAAACTTGGCATGGGCCCACATGGCCATCTGTAGAATTAAATAATGTATGTGATGCAATGAAATATGTTTTCATTCAATCCATAGAGAATGCCCAGTTTATACTTTTTCTTTCTTGATTCTGAAGAAAATGATCTACCTTATTTGATAAATCATCACAGTGGTCAACAAACCTATTACTCTTTCATACTTTTGAGAATTTTCTTTAAGATTTGAAAAGGTAGGTATTTGTGTAATAAAGATTGATTTGTTTGAAAACTAGTACAATAACTCAGCCTGTATGATAAAATGTGTAGCTACTGCATAACTGATTCATTCAGGTACCACTCTATTTAATCATCATACTAAGCACACTACTAATTTCACGTCAAACAACTGGCATTTAACTAGAAAAAATATGCTTACATGCATTTAACTAGAAAATTATGCTTACGCATTTTTTTTTTTTTTTTTTTGGATTTTTTTTTTTAGTAGAGATGGGGTTTGACCATGTTGGCCAGGCTGGTCTCAAACTCCTGACCTCAGATGATTCACCCGCCTCAGCCTCTTAAAGTGCTGGGATTACAAGAATGAGCCATAGTGCCTGGCATGTTTTTTTGTTTGTTTGTTTGTTTTTCATTCAACAAATATTTATTGAATGCCCACTGAGGGTTAGTTACCAGAGCTGCAATGGTGAGTAAATAGGCCTATCTTTGTCCCCAAGAATCTTACAACACAGTCTCACCCTCCAGCATCTGGTTTCGTAGACTGGATGTGTCTGCCAGTAGGTGAATGGTGGTCGCAGGAGACAACCTGGGGAACGCGATCCTGCTGAACACGGACCACAAAGGGGTGCGTTCTCCCAGGTCCTGCCTTTCCCATCCTCACTCCCATCTCGGTTTTGTGTCCCCACAGGAACCAAGCTCTTCTCTGCAGCTTTGGAATCTCAGAATGCACAAAAGAAAAGTGATGCAAGTGGCCCCGAACCCATGCTGTGATTGGTTCCTGGCCACAGCCTCCGTAGATCAAACAGTGAAAATCTGGGACCTCTGCCAGGTTAGAGGGAAAGCCAGCTTGCTCTACTCGCTACCGCACAGGCATGCTGTCAACGCAGGTGTAATATGCCAGATCTCATCTCTCCTGCAGTCCCTGCCTATCTGACTACTGCTGCGGTTTTCCCTCAGCGTGGAAGCCACTATGTCAAACCTTTACCCCTGATAGCGCCTGCCAAGCTGATGTCTGGTAACTTTTCTGGCTCTGGCTGTCCCCATCAGCTGCTGAGTTTCCAGAATGTTTTTGTTTTGTTTTGTTTTTGAGACGGAGTCATACTCTGTCGCCTAGGCTGGAGTGCAGTGCACGATCTTGGCTCACTGCAACCTCCCACTCCCGGGTTCAAGCAGTTCTCCTGCCTCAGCCTCCTGTGTAGATGGGATTACATGCCCGCACCACCACGCCCGGCTTTTTATTTTTTATTTTTTTTAAGATGGAGTTTCACTGTGTTGGCCAGGCTGGTCTTGAACTCCTGACCTCAAGTGATCCGCCGGCCTCAGCCTCCCAAAGTGCTGGGATTACACGTGTGAGCCACCGTACCCAGCCCAGAATTTTTTGTTGTTCTCAACTAAGATTCACCTCTTCCCTTCGGCTCCCATCTAGAGAGGAGTGGGAGGGAGGGCACCCCCTGCAGGAGAAGGGCTGCAAGGCCAGGACAATTGCGGGCTTGTGGTTCCTTCGGCTCAGGGGTTTTTCACATGTTCCTCATTCATGATAAAACATTCAAAAAAACATTTTTTTCTCGGTTATTATTTACTCTTCTAAGTTAAATCATATGCTCTTTTAAATTATATGAAAAACCCTATTTTCTGTTTTTTTAATTACCTAGGGTCTATTGTCTAAGTCAGCTTCCTTTTGGCTCCTAAATGATTAGACAATCACGGCTAAGCATGACACATAAATCTCTAATGTAGAAACCATTCTTGTAGTCAAATTACTTCAACATACTTTGACCTGCAAGAAAATGTCACAGAAAGACCACCATCCACACTGTTTCTTCACAGTCATTATTTTAGATTTAGTGTTGTAAATAAAAGATACCCTTAATTTCCTAAGGCATAGTTTATCTGTGACCCAAAAGGAATCACTGAGGGCTTCATATTAAGTCTGGCCGTAATAGAATCTGTCAGGCTCCACCATAAAAATCTATGTAGTAACTAGTTCTTAGCATTGCAAAGGACTCTACTCTGCAAAAGAAAACGGAGAACAGACTGATCTAACAATGTCTGTTCAATGAGATTCTTTCTTACCAAACCTTCCAATATTCATCCTCTTTGTTCAGAAACTGAGCACCTCAATTCGACATGAATAAAAAGAACATGAGCTTCTCTTTCACACAGAAGGACCAGTTCACTTTGACAATCTGAGTTTAACCACCAGTAGAAGACTCCTATTTGGAAATGCAGGTGGCTTCGCATTCAAATCTAGAACTAAGTTTCATCCTCCAAGTTGCACTTATGTCTAATTTAGGCAAGACATCTATTTCTGGAAAATACCTAATAAAGGAGCACAGGTGTCCTTCACTTTAAACTCTTGGGAAGACTCCATCAAAATATAACCACCAAGTATAATTATTCCACCAAAGTATAACCATGTATTTTGCCTAAGTTCTTAAGAAATTACAGGAAATCCAGCTGAGATTTTTGTCCATAGTTGTGTAGCATTAACTTCTCAGCTCCTCCTCTCTAAACTGATCTAGGTTAGGCTCCAGCTAAATGTGGCAGACAAGAGCTTAAGTCTTAGAAACAGTGTGTGATTTATGTTTCTAAAAATATAGAGAATATTTCGTTATGTGAATTTATATGAGAGAAGCATTGGATTCTGCACCGAGTCCTGGCCCTATTACTGGGTACTGAGAGACTCCCCTGTTTAAGTGGGGATGACAATTCATTACTTTGACTTGTATTTTAAAAGAGAACAGGAAAAATAGGGGGGATTAGCTCTGACATGTGTACCTGTAAATTATTTGCAAAATCTGAAATATTTTACATAATTTACTATCAAAACACAGTCTGTTCTTTTTGTGTGGTGACAGGATAACAGTCGGCAATTATCATTTTTATTTCTGCACATTAGAAGCAATGATTTTTGCTTATTTTTTTCCTTGCTGTTGTTGTTTTGGTTGTTTATTAACAATGTAATATATTTTTATTGTAGAAGTTTAGAAAGTATAAAAACACAAAAGGAATATTGGAGGGAAAAATCTCACTCCATTATCACACCACACAAGGTAATCTACTATTTGGTGTATTTCCTTTTAGTCTATTTCACCGTGCCTATGTTCTACAAATTGAGTTCAAATTGCATGCAAATTTTTTGTACTGCTATTTTTAAACTTAATATTATATTTTAGGATTTCCCATGTTATTAAAACTCTTTATAAACATCATTTTGTGCACCTAATTTTTCTAACACCAATGTGTATTAGTGTTCTAATATTCTGAATAAACAGTTTCACATGAATTATTTTAACTAAAATACCAGTAAGTTTTATATTTAAATTACATAATGAAAATACAAATATATCAAATAATATAAAATGTATGGAATATGCATTATTTGTGAGGTTTTTTAATTGATATGAAAGAGCAAAGGTAAAAAGGGCTACAATTCAGAGATTTTCAAACTGAGAGGATTTTTATTTCTCTTCAGCAGTCCTAAACTCATTTGAAACACTGTTAAAATGTATCATATAAAATAATTTATTTTTACTCTTATGAGTTCTCAGTAGAAAGGCTGAAAAGTCAAGGACTCTCTGAAAAGTAATAAAGACACTTTATTTGTGAAATGACTTTCATTCCAGTGTAGTACTTTATTTTGCTCATTTTATCAGGGAATTATTAGACATTCTGCAATTTACTTGACTCTGCCTGGTTCGTTTCTCCAAATGGAATGGTCTATCCATAAAGAAGAAACAGTTATTTCTCAATGATTTCTACTTAGTACCAAGGCATGAGTAGGATCCAGCTTCTCTAGGAGTTCTGTGGTTTTTCATGAATAGGACCTGCTATTCTACTGTAATCATGCTAGGAATCTCTGAAATTGAAACAAGGATCACCAGAAATGAAAAAATATATACTATTAAGAATCTGTTATTACCATCCCAGAAACCCTCATTTGTGGTATTTCATTTGTTCATGTGTCTGTTGCAGAGAAGATAGGAATTGTCGTTTTTTGAGTTTGCAATGAAGCATGGTAGAGACAGCAATGTTGACATGTAGGTGACATGTGTTTACATATCATGTGCAAACTGAATGACTACATTCAAATGAAACAAAATAAACAGAAAGAAGGGGAAAACAGCAGGCTTAGGTGTCAGGGACTCAGAGTAGAGAGTATCTGAAGAGGATCCAGGTAGATAGAAAGACAGTCCAAAGGAATTTCTGGAAATTTAGGGTAAATTAATCATGGTAGGTTTGTTGAATTTCTCAAATTTTTGGTGTGAAACACAAGGAGCTATTAAAGGGGTTAACAAGAACAGACCACAAACAATCCTCACATTATCCCTATCTTTACTCCTAGACTAAATCTTGACTAAGGTCATCAAAAGTCAGTGGAGGCATCTAGAAAGGAAGACATATAATGGTGTTAGAAGAAACAACAACAAAAGAGTAAGGAAGAGACGTGATCCCTAAGTGTGGCAGAAATCTGAACATATCTGTATAAAATAGAATTTGGGGCATGTTAAAGAAATTTGACGTAGTACACATAAGAGAATAACACTTTAATTGGGTTGCTTCCAACAAGATATTTTACAACTCTACTGGTGCATCACACAAGTGCATCATGACTATTTAGCACACAAACTACTATCTATAGAAGACAGAGCAATAATGGATGGGAAGCATTTCACTCCAGTAACGATGAATCAGCGAAGTGATCTTGCAAATTGGAACAGTTTTACCTTTCATAGATCCATTTGTCTTCCCCATGTTGGAAATAATATTGTGAATAGAATTTAAAAGGCAAAGTGGGGATATTACAGTCTCAACTCCCCCCCAACTGTGTCATCACTTTTTTCCATAGCAAAACACATGATGCCTTATTTTTTTTATTTATTTTATTTTATTTTATTTTATTTTATTTTATTTTATTTTATTTTATTTTATTTTATTTATTTTATTGAGACGGAGTCTCGCTCTGCCTCCCAGGCTGGAGTGCAGTGGCGCGATCTCGGCTCACTGAAAGCTCCACCTGCCGAGTTCACGCCATTTTCCTGCCTCAGCCTTCCGAGTAGCTGGGACTATAGGCACCCGCCACCACACCTGGCTAATTTTTTTTTGTATTTTTAGTAGAGACAGGGTTTCACTGTGTTAGCCAGGATGGTCTCGATCTCCTGACCTCGTGATCCTCCTGCCTCGGCCTCCCAAAGTGCTGGGATTACAGGCGTGAGCCGCCACGTCCAGCCACATTATGTCCTTTTAAGCCCTTCTAGTACTGCTTATCATTGTATATGACGGGACAGAAAAGCCTACAGGTCAATTTTATGGTGGCAGAAGATGATACTTAAAATTAAAGCAGACATTGATCCAGACCATTGATCAGCCACTTTGCAACTTTAATGCATGCTCTGTTGCTTAACTATCCTACATCTCAGTTTTAAAATCAGTATTATTCATAAAACATAGAAAGAGTGAAGGTTTGTCTTTAAAGTTGTTATTGAAGTACAATATTCATAAGTAAAAGTGAACATATTCAATTGCATAATTCAGCAAATATTTACAAACTGAAAACATCTATATAACTGGCACCCAGATCAAAAAACAGATCATTACCATCATTCCAGAAGCATCCCTTTCAATCACTCCCTACTCTAAAGGAAACAGGTTTCTCAAAAGAAAAAAATCAGTTTTTACTGTAATCAAACATTATATAAATGGAATTAGGCAATATGTACTACTTTTTATTTGGCTTCTGTTATTCAAAGTTTATCAAATTTTTTCATATTGCAATTGTGAAGGATTTAGTAAACAAATGTTTCTGACAGTGGCCCGGACAGTGCTAAAATAGAATAAACAAATAATTTAATATTTATTGCTGTTGCTTTAGGTATTAAATAATAACAAGTAATAACAATTAATTTTTGTTTAAGTAGTAGTACCAATAGCTCAAGAGTAACCCATGAAAAATATCATTGTACTGAGGACAGTCCTGTCAACATATTATAATTTCTAATCAATGTGCTCTAAAAGTACAAGTCACCCTTTACAAAGTGATTTTGAGCATGATGACTATGTGTCCTCACACAGGTAAATGGAAGTGGTGCAGCTTTCTTTTTTTTTTTTTGAGATGGAATCTTGCTCTGTCACCCAGGCTGGAGTGCAGTGGCATTATCTCAGCTCTCCTCCTGAGTTCAAGCGATTCTCCTGCCTCAGCCTCCCAAGCAGCTGGAATTACAGGCATCCACCATGAGCCACTGCTCCCGGCCTGGTGCAGCTTTTATATCCAAGCGTGGGCTTAATCTACACCACAAGAACCCTGACATTTAAAGATATAGTACACATTTATCACAATTGTCACTTGCCATTAATTTACATTCCCTTTATGCATCTGTTCAAAAAATAATTAGGATTTTATGCTGCAGTAAATATGCTTGTTCATCCATTAGTGCAAAGCAAAAGATTAATTGCATTACAATGGGAATCGGGACTACAACACTCCGAGCCACAATGATAACAGTGACAGCTGGGCTGCCCACACCGTACTTTGCTCTGATAAGCTTCAAAAACAAGTGTAGATGGGAAAATAATTAAATCACTGACAAGGCAGCACCAGCCTTATTTTCCCTCTTCTTGAGTTCAATTTGCAATCATAAAAAAAAAAGGTTCTTATTGCAAATTAGAAAAGGGCCCTTTCCCCCCCATCTTCAAATGCCCTAGTTTAATATTAGTATAAGCTATATTGCTATAGATCTTGTCTTTAACTCCTCCTATTTATCTCAGCAAGCTAAAGAAGAGAACTAGGCTGGATCTGATCTAGTCTCTTTGGTATCTTCTGAGAACCCAGCAGAGCTGGCTCCATGGTCTTGTGACCAGTGCAGTCACACAGGGCTCGGTGCTTGGTTTTAATGCACTGTTGTCACTATCTTGAAATACTTACTAGCTTTTCTTTTTTAAAGCAAGGGGCCTCACATTTTCATTTTACTCTGGGCCTCATAAATTATGTACCCAGTCTTACCAATAAATGTAGAAAGTAGTAATATAATAATCTCTTTCTCAATCTGTCTCACACTCTCTGTCTCTCTCCATAGATATCTATATTTATACCTGTAGATCTCTATATTTCTCTGTGTATGTTTCTATATCTATGAAGATATATAGATGAGAGTGTTGTGAGATATATGTCAGTGAATACATCCATATACTCATTGCTTCTTCTCCGCAAGAGGAAACAAAAACAAACAACAAACACAGCAAACAACCTCTTTTTTTTCTTCTCATTTTCTCTGGTCAAAAAAAGACGGTGTTATTGAGTGGAAATGGAATATCTGTATTTTGAGGAAATTTTTGTGTCTGAGAAGAAAGAGATACGTTATACTTGTACTCCAGTCATCTCCTGACTATGGATACTTCTCTATGGTTCATAATACACCAATCATTGTTTTAGTACCAATGGGAATTGACAATGCTGTTAACCTTGGGCAATAGTTTATATCACTCAAGGAAACATCTGTGCAATAATTTCCATAATGATCTAGCCTTCAATCACCACAATCCCCCCACACCCCCAAGGTAAAAAAAAAAAAATGGTTTCAGAATTGCTCAACTCAAAACCTCATTATTTGAGGCCTAATCAAGATGACAACAGACAGAGAAGTATCCCCAGCTCTGACAGTCCCACAACAAGCAGTAACAAACAGTTGGCAATGATTGTAACCAAAATGTATGGATAATCATCTTTGATGAATCATTTATCATGAAAGCTTCTCTTATGGCAGTGACTTCTTGAGAGCCTCTAAAAACCTGGCCCTTCAGGGAATTGGCTGGTGACATAATGTATCTGTTGCTCAGGTAGAAACTGGTTAGAGCTTGTCCTTCTACATCACTTTTAAATCTTATTTTTTAAGGCCCTTGGATTTCTTAAATGTTATTAATCTTTTTTTTTTTTAAGTTGGAGAACAAGAGAGAGACTTTGTTATTGGTAGTGGTAGAAAGCCTCAAAAATAGGTCAGGCACCGCAACAGAAAAAGACAGCCTGCTTACAGGGAAGGGAATTGCAAATTAACTGTTACAGACATGGGTACGTTTTAGCCCCGGCAGCAGCTGCTGAATAATTAGGGCCGAAAGGCCTTTATAAAGGTTATAAGTCTTGCTACTGTGACTAACTAAATCTGTTTGAGTAATTTTCCTTTTGCTATTGCAATTATGGGGTTTTAACTCACTAGGTAGCTGATTTTGTGGCATGTACATATTCGATGTATTGAGGAAAATGAGCTTCCAGGGCTCCCCTCTGGACAGCATTAGAGCAATGATCATAAATCCTCACTAAAGGGAAACTAGTTCTCAGACAAAGCAGTTTTGGGGGTGGGAGTGAAGTGAACAGTGGGAGGAAGTGGACAAACATTTTATAGGCAATAGTTCTGCAAAACTAGATTCTAATACACAATACTACAATATGATAATGGGACATAATGTAATATAATACCATATAATGGAATGTGTTATATTTTGATATTATGTAATATACGCTTCATATTTTTGTTATTACAGATTAGCTTTCACACTAGACTTTGCTAGATAATGTTGATACTATTTAGACATACTTTTTTAAGTAACACTTTACAACCTGTCTCCTCTCAAAATTGTGAAATCTTGACCCCATGTCTTTCACTTTTTCTTATGGAAACTTGTGCACTGACACTTAGTCTTACTTGCCTTATTGTCCAGTTTGTCTCCTCTTATCCTGATATAATATCTAGTATTAAAATGAGATAGAGGAAGAAGGAAGAGCAAGATGGCTAAATAGAAACCTCCAGTGATCGTTCCCTCACAGGAACACTAAACTCAACAACTATCCATGTAAGCACCAAAAAATTAAATGAGCAAACACAGTTCCTGGCTTTAGCATAATAAAAAGAAATGAAGCATTGCAGAGGGGAGAAAAGTCTGCCACTGCCTGCACTACATCTCTTTCAATCCCAGACAACACAGCATGGGGAGATAATCTGTGTGCTTTGGGGACTGAGACAAGATGAGTGCGGAACTTTGCATTGGAATTCAGTGCTACCTTGTCACAGTGAAGCAAAACACCAGGCAGAACTATGCTGGTGCCCATGGAGGAGGCATTTAGACCACCCCCAGGTCAGAGGAAAATTTCTCATCCCAGTGGGAGAAGTCCAAGTTCCTGCCAGCTTCACCACTGGCTGACTAAAGTGGCCTAAGGCCACAAATAAAGTTGACTATCAGTCAAGCTACAATGACTACAGTCCTTGGGTAAGCCCCAGTGCTTCATTGGTCTTAGAGGTAGTGGACTCAGGGCACAACCCAGAGGGATACAAGCTGCAGCAGCCCCATTGGTGCCTGTATCATCCCTCCTTAAACTCCAGGCAGTGAAGCTCCAGGAGACACCCCTTCTGCTCAGGAGAAGGAGAGAGAAGAGTGCAGAAAATGTTGTCTTGCACCTTGAGTATCAGCTCAGCCACAGTAAAATAAAGCACTGAGCAGATTCCTAAAGCCCCAGTTCCAGGCCTTTGCTCCTGGATAGCATTTCTAGACCCACCCCCAGGGCCAGGAGAGAATTCACTTCCCTGGTGGGACAGACCCAGTCCCAGCAGAATTCACCATCTGCTGACTAAAGTAGCCTAGGGCCTTGAATAAATATCAGCAACAACCTGGCAATAGTGGCTGCAGGCATTTGGCAAGTCCCAGTACTGTGCTGGTCTGAGAGGTTGTGAGCTCCAGGTATGACCTACTGCAGTGCCAGCTGTGATGGCCACAGGAGTCCCCATATTACCTCTCCTCCAGAAGAGAGACTGCTACTCCGGAGAAAGTGAGGGAAGAGAATGAGAGACTTCATTTGGGAATGCAGGGAAATCTCCCTTATCTTCCCGAAATCCACCAAGGCTGTGTATCTAGGAGTCTGCAAGAATCTCGGCATTACTGAGCTTAGGGAACCCATCAGTACTGAAATGCTACAGTGACCACAGGCTTAGGTCACAACCCTCAATCCCCTTTGAATTTTTCAAAAGCTCTCTCTGGAAAGATGGTTACAAACAAGTACAGACTTAGTGAGATCAGCATAAATGCCTCACTCTTCAATGCCCAGACATCAATGAACAGCAATGTCCACGAGCATCAAGAACTTCCAGGAAAACATGACTTCACCAACAGACTAAATAAGACGCTGTGATGAATCCTGGAGTGGTGGATACATGTGACCTCTCAGGAAATTAAAAATAGCTGTCTCAAGGAAGCTCAATGAACTTCAAGATAACAGAAAACAAATTCAGAATTACAGCAGAAAAATTTAACAAACAAGATTAAAATAATTTTAAAAATCAAGCACAAATTCTGGAACTGAGAAGTTGACAAACTAAAATATGCATCAGAGTCTCTCAACAGCAGAATAGGTCAAGCAAAAGAAAAAATCAACAAGCTCAAAATCAACCTACATGAAAATACACAATCTAAGGAGAAAAGAGAAAAAAAGAAAAAAAAATGCCCAAAAGATTTAGAAAATAGCCTCAAAAGGAAAAATCAAAACATTATTGACCTTTAAAAGGATGTAGAGAAAGAGATGGGGATAGAAAGTTTTTTCTAAGAAGTAATAGTAGAGAACGTTCAAACCTTGAGAAAGGTTTGAATGAGAGGTTTGAATGTTCAAACCTTGAGAAAAGATATGAATATAGAGGTATAAGAAAGTCAACAAACACAAAGCAGATTCAATTCAAACAAGACTATTTCAAGGCATACGATTATCAAACTCTCAAAAGTCAAGGACAAAGGAAGGATCTCAAGAGCTTGTTCTTTCCATAAATCTTTCAAAAGAAAGGATCTCAAGAGCTTGTTCCATAAACCTTTCAAACCTTTCTGTGTATATATATACCCATTTACTTTGTCCTGTCCTTAACGGGAAGATACAATGACAGAGCTTAAACAACTCAATTCACATCTATATATAGAAAATAAGATACATTTTACCAGTATATATTTGACATAATTTCAAAATGCATTTGACACTTAGATAACAGGAAAAAATTTGTTATAAAATATGGTTTGAATGTGGCCAAAGAAGGTATTCTATCTACAGCTGAGCATACAATGAGTCCAGGAATTAGTACTGCATTGGCACTTATCTCACCCAAGGGTCATTGGTTAAGTCACTGGTTAATAAAACTGTATTTGCATTTCTGTAGATGTTATAGTCCATCTCAAAAATGGAATAAATTCTTAAAGAAATATAAATTCTTCTTTATTTACTTATTTATATTCTTCTTTATTACAGACATGAAAAAGCACTTTTCATAACTAATATTCTCAGATATAGATACTTAAATAGTAGTGTGGAATTCATAAATGCATTAATAATTTTCCCTAACAAACAAAATACAGTCTTAATAATTGTTGTCAGTGCACAAGGGCTGCTTACACAGTGCTTTTTCAGTTGGAGAGGCTTAAAGTACTTTATGTTGATTAATTAATTGGCTTGTTGGTAAGAGACCTGGCCCAGGATTGTATTAAGTTCTGAAGAATTACAGGCAGGTTGTGATGGAAATGGGAGACTTAAGGAGTCAAAAAATAGAATCAATGTCAGTGACAATTTATCACTGCAAATTTATCAGTCTTCTCCATTGTGAGCTAATATAAAAGGATAATAATAATAATCATTAATGTAGTCCAGTAATATTTATGAAATCTTCTATAAATTGTGCATTTAGTCTAAAATTACTTTAATTCTGAAATAGTGCACATGCTATGCAAATGCAGATTCAAGATAAATTCTCTGGTCCTTGTTCTCTCCAACATACTCTCTGAAAATAAAATCACTCAGTTCTTCCTATATAGAATTTCAGAAGCCAACCATTATGGTGAGTCAAAATAAAAATCCATATGATGAAGATAAGTTCTCCTGACCATTGAGAGCTTACATGAGTATAATCTCTCAGGAGCTCAGAGACAAGGTGAAAACAAGGGATTGGCCTTAGATTATAACATTAAACAAGATCTAGCACAGAAATCTGACTGTCATAAATTGATTTAATATAGTTGCTATCTCGGCATCCATTTTTATGTATAGCATAAGTTATCTGAAACCCAGCGATACCCCATCACCTTTGGCCTAGTTAAAATTTCCCCTTCTTGTGTGGTTGTTTGCAATATAGCCTGTTTATTCTTCATTTTACCGACCCAAAACTCAACACATTTTAGAGCTGCTGAATAAGAATAAAACTTAACTTAATGGTTAATACGAGACTTATGTTTTCTGTAAACTATCCAATCCACAATCCCCGGGGGAAGGCAAAGAGATCACTTCCATAGACCTCTAGGTTTCTCTCTCTCTTTCTCTCTGTCTCCCTCTCTCCCTCTTCACCTACCCACTGGTTGAGCTTCGTTCTACCTCAGGACTTTCTGTGAGCCCTTGTGGGCACCCTTCTTCTCTCACGGATCAGGATCAATGAGTAATAAAATGATTTTGTTATTTTATGTGTTTCATTGTTCTGCCTTCTCTGTGTCTCTCCTGAATGACACAGACACACCCAACCCTGACTCTCCTCCCGGTCAGGTCTCTCCTAGAGAGTAGATATTTTGGTAATAATAAACTGAACACAGGTCAGACAAGAGTCACAAGAGTGTCTTCTAGTATAAACAAATTTCCTGTGAGAGCAACACCTGGTTACAAGTTGGATACTTAGGTGTTAGGCTCCCTGCCAGTATAAAGAAATATAGTATGAAAGGCACATTGTAAACATCCATGGCCCATCCCCTGGAGCCCCATCAGGAGAGGACTAAAATTTATAGCCACTCTCCGAAGAGAGACCTTAAGATCAAGTTAGAGAAAATCACAACACTGACCTTTACAGGTGGAATTGACTGTGATTAAACCAATTTGGCTTAAAGAATTTAGTTCAGGGCAGAGGCAAATAAAATACTTGTATTAGGTAGCTCTTCATCTAATTGCTAGTTGATCAAATGTAGGATTGAGTTCATGCCTTCACTCTTGCAGCAGTTCCAAAAGAATGGAAAGGCAATATGGAATATTAGAGAAGAGTTTAAATGCTAGTGACAAACAAACATGGATGCTGACTACTTATCAGTTGATTGACTTGAACAAGTTATTTTATGTGTTTGAAATGCCAATAAAATTAACTCTAAAAATGAGGATAATAATAATACCTATTTCAAATGGCTCTTGTCAGGATGAAGAAAATATACATAACATTTTTTGCGTAGTATTTAATACAAAATGATATTCCACAATGCCAATTACTATTATTATTATTATTATTCTAAAAAGAAAATATCTGTGGTACATAATCACACTGATTCTAACGCTTTGTTATTTGGGGCAGAATATTTTTAGCATAATATTTGTTTCCTAAAAATGATGATGTGAAATGAGTAAGCCAAAAGTATAAGACCAATTTTTGACATCCATCGTCTATTTTTTCCAGCTAAAACACATGGACACGTATGGATGCATTGTTGTCTAGTTCTTTGTGAAACTTTCCCTGATAACTCTATTCAACTCTGATTTCTCACTTTGCTGACTTCCCATAGTGCTAATTGTAAAGAATATGTTAGCACAATGTATTTATCTCTTCACCATAGTTTCTCCTCCAGTCTCATGAGCATATTGCCTTATTAACACATCTGGTAAATTTCTGGAAGTCAGGGATAATGCCTTATGTTTTCCATAGGTCTTTCATGCCCCATAACTATCATATTCTGGAAACATTCTAAGCTACATTAAATCTGAATTCTTTTACACTTCTCCTGTACTACTGATTTGGGTACTGTCCCCAGTTGCATTTCAACTCTGTTCTTTAAAACTACAGTTTCTATAATAGTATACAGTTCTTTAATAATGTCCTAATCAATACTACTTCAGAGTAATGCTTATTATATGCTTGTTTCTAAATTCCAGAGTCATCAAATGTTTTCTTTTTACATTTTAAAAATTGCTAAGCTCTCATTACTTTTCAATATTCGTGAGTATTCAGTTTATGGTCCATTTTGATATCTGGGTTTTAGTTTATCACAACACAGTCATTCCATAAAGTTTCCTTCTTTTCTCATTTGGCGATGTTATGAGTATTATTCAAGAAATATCCTTCAAATTTTTTTCAAGATTCATCACACTTTAAAAATAATCAATGTTTCAAATCTGTATTTCTTAACCCATAAGCCTCAAATTAACAGATTAGTTAGGTGACCATGCTATTATTTTGAAAACCAGAGGTTCAGTTCACAAGACACATATGTCTGGGCAGCATTTAGGTGTCTTAAATCTTAATTTCTAAATTATTTTTATTTCAAAGAAATAAAATGTTTACTGATTTGGGCAATATATAGAAGTAAATAAACATACATAAATAAAATCATCTGAAATCTTCTATCTAGAAATATTCACTATGTACTCTGTTTTAAATTTTTCTTATTTTAAACAAATTTTTGACTACAGAAAAGTTGCAAGATTAGTTCAGAAGTTTTTACATGTCCCTCAGACAGCTTCCTCTAATTATGGCACTTTGTATAATCACAGTACCAGGGATCAGAGCCAGAGAATTGGTATCTCTAATAGCAATTCAGTAAGCTAAATAATAGCTTCTATAACCAACAGCCCCAAATGTCCAGGACTGGAGTGATAACTAACAGATTTCCTAATTTTTTGTTTCTACTTCTAACTTAAGGCCAATCGAAGAAAGCCAAATATACACCGTTACATAGGATGTCCCACTTCTGGTTAGCCTATGCCAGCTAACCATATGGTATAGCCTATGCCAGCTATACCATAACCAAATTATGGCAGCTTCCCCATGCCAGCAGCCACCAATCAGAGAACACCTAAAGTCTTCTCTTTGTGTTCCACTGTAAAGCTTTCTCACTCTTGCGCCTGCCTTGCAGTTGCTGATTAAATGCAAGTAACAGTGGCTTCCTCTCTTGCTCTCGCAAGGTCCAAATAAATAGCCTTTGCTTTTTTCATTTGACTGATCTTGTTTAATTTCCACATATTTTTTTCTGCAGGAGTAAACATATCTTCAACTTTTGACTTCCATGGTAATAGAGTACCCTTAAGACCATTTATATATATATATATATGCATATGTATACAAACACACATTATATAATGGTATGTGCGTTTGTGTGTGCATGCATGCTTGTGTAAACATTATATATTCAGGCTTTTTCATTAAGATCTCATCATGTTTGGATGATAAATACATATTTTTTGCAAATAGTTAATGGTTTGTATTCCCCGAGGGCTCAGTCCAAAACTCTCTTCTATTTCTTTCTCTATCTTTTTTTTCCTTCATCACTACTCCTCTGAAGATGACTCTTGAGTTTATATTTTTTGCCCAGGTCTTTCAGGAGAGCTTCAGACCTTATATCCTACTACCTCTTGAGTTGCATAAAGGCACCACAACTCAATACGGGTTAGTGATCTTCTTCTACAAACCCGATACCCTTTCAGTGTTTCCAAAGTTGATGAATGGCACCATGATTCACCTAGCTGAGAAAGCTAGATCCCTAGGTATCATCACTGACACCTTCTCCTTTCCTTATTCGCCATATCACATCCGCATCCATTTATCTAGCCCTGTCCATTTTATCTTCTAAATATCTATCAGTATTCTGAGAGTAAGGACCCACTTTTCTGTTTCATTGCCATTTCCATCCAGGTCTGTCATCTTTTACCTAGCATTCTGCAATAGCATCTGTTTTAGTTTCCTAAGGCTACGATAATAAACTGTCAAAAACTGGGTAGCTTAAAACCACAGAAATTGGTCTCAGGTCTGGAGGCTAGAAGTGGGAAATCTGTGTGTTGGCAGGGCAATGCTCTCTCTGATGGCTGTAGGGGAGAACTCTTCCTTGCCTGTCTCCTAGTTCCTCATGTTTGGTGGCAATCTTTGGCATTCCTCAGCTGGTATATGCATCTCTTCAATCACAAGGCTGTCTTCTCCCTGTTTGTCTTCAAGTTATCTTCCTTCTAAACATGTATATATCTGTGTCCAAATTTCCCTCTTTTATATGGAAACTCATGAAATTGATTTAGAGCCCACCCTAAAGACTGACATCATCTTACCTTGATTATCTCCGTAAAGACTTACTCTCCATGTAAGGTCACATTCTAAAGTGCAAATTCTGGAGGTTAAGATTTCAACATATCTTTCTTGGGGGTACAATTCAACCTTTAATAGAGTCTAGGCTGGGTGTGATAGCCCACACCTATAATTCTGGTATTTTGTGAGGCTGAGATAGGCAGATTGCTTGATCCCAGGAGTTTGCAACCATCCTGGACAACATGGCAAAACCCTGTCTTTACTAAAAATACAAAAAATTAGCCAGGCATGGTGGTACATACCTGTGGTCCCAGCTATATTAGAGGCTGAGATGGGAGGATCACTTGAACCCAGGGGGTCAAGGCTGCAGTGAGCTGTGGCTGCACCAGTGCAGTTCAGCCTGGGCAACAGAATGAGACCCTCTCTCAATAAATAAATAAATAATCTAAACCCCTCTTAATTTTCTCTACATGCCCAATAATCTATTTCTGTTCATAAATAAGAGTAGACTTTTCAAAATATAACCTTATCATTTATTTCCTCCTTAAAATTCTTTCATGCTGTTCTACTAGTCTTAGAATAAAAGCAACATTCCTTTAATATGACCCACAAGGGTCTTAGTCTGGTTTAGCATACCTGCCATACCACGCCCCAGTCCTTCACAGGTTTGTGTTTAGACCAAAACATTATATATATATATATATATATATATATATATATATATATATATATATACACACATACACATATATATATGTATATACATATATATGTGTATATATATATATACATACACATATATATATGTATATACATATATATGTATATATATATATACACACACACACACAAGCATTATATAAACAAACATTATATATATAAACAAATATTATATATAAATATATAATTTTTTTTTTTGCTTGTTGTGCTTCCTCTTGCCCAGGGCTGTTTTACAATTTCTCCTGTTTAGAATGTTCCTTCATCCTCCTTTTAACTAGTGTGTGTGTGTGTGTGTGTGTGTGTGTGTGTGCGCGTGTGTATTCTTAGGATTTTTTTAAGAAAATCCTTCTCCAGCCCTATATTACTCTGTATGTCTTCATTCCAGAACTGTAATTCCGTTATCTATGTAAAAATGTAATTAATATCTGTCCCTTCAAGTGGACTCTGAGCTTTACCAAGCGCAAGAAAACACAGTTGGCCTTTTCACCATTCTATCTCCAGTCTCTAGTAAAATGACTGCCACATCATGGGTGCTCAAAATAGTTTTTTGACTTGAAGAATAAATGATTGGATAAATGAATCAGATGTATGTAATTTAGAGCAGTTTTTTTAAACTCTCAATGTTAAAAGGCTAGTTGTTTTCTTAATCATTTGTGAAATTAAAGAAAATTAAACCCAAATTGCTATAGAAGTCTTAAATGCCTTTACCTTCTATGCTTATGTCATCATGAACCAACAGTCAACAGTTTGCTGACTGATGCCAGCCCATAGACCGTGCTTTAAATAGCACCGATCTTCATGTCTTCCCTAATTTAGTGATTCTGTCATCCTAAGAAATATGAAACTAAATTGATCTCTTTGCAGGATAAGGAATTTTTATATTCTATTTAAAAATAAAAATACATGCATAGTAAAGCATTGCCATTTAACTTACTTATTTGCTCAGAACACTGCAACCTGAACACGGCATTTTTCAACCAGAGTTCACTGCTAGATTTTTATCCTCTTTTCATTTTCCACTCCCTCCATGGCCTTCTTAAGGGGGAGTACCTGAACCATAAAGTAAGCCCAGAGTAGCTATCTGCCACTTTGATCAACTCAACCTGTTAATATTTTTCGGGATCAGGTACCATGAGTTACAGTGGTTATGCAGGTGGGCACTTCCCATCTGAAAGTGGTAGTAATGAATTATTCATCTACCAGCTTGTCAAACTGCAGATTGCTAACCTACAAGTAACTGCAAGAGTCTTATTTCTTCCAGGAAAGGTGAAAAATCTAACTGAATACATAGATTAACTTCTTTAGAGGGGGAAAACATTATCAGTCAATACTCCAAATTACTAATAATAACTATAAAATACAACAGTTTGAGTCTTAGAATTCTAGATCTTAAGAATAGTCATATATCTATTCCTAAGATTTAGAAGCAGACATATATATATAGCTATTCTAATGAAAGCAAAACCAGGTTTAAATATATATAATATTTATTTAAATGTATATTATGTTTAAATATATATATTTATTTAAATGTATATTGTTTAAATATATATATTTATTTAAATATATATTATAGTTAAATATATAATATATAAATATATAATATATAACAAATATATAATATTTTATATGTTAATATATAATATATAAATATATAATATATAACAAATATATAATATTTTATATGTTAATATATAATATATAACAAATATATAATATATTTTATATGTTAATATATAATATATAACAAATATATAATAAATTTATATATGTTAATATTACATATAATATATAACAAATATATATTTACATATGTTAATTTTATATATATTTAAACTTGGCTTTTATTAGAAATATATTAATATTTAATATATATTGAATATTATATAATATACAATTATTAATATTATATACTATATAATCATTAATTATTATATATAATATATAATTAATAATTATATAATATATAATATTAATAATTATATATTATATTAATATATAATATTAATATAATATATAATGTATATTTAAATATGTATTATATTTAAATATGTATTATATTTAAATATATAATATAATATATAAATTATATATAATATATATTTATATGTTAATATTATATATATATTTAAATCTGGCTTTGCTTTTATTAGGGTTTTTCTGAAACCAAAGACAGATCATCAGTAGTTGGATAGGTACTTTGTTTGTCACCTAGAGTCCTGGTGAAGTTTCTGGTAGAATTTTTTTTCCTCCTTAGGGAGACTGCTTATTTGGAAATATAAAGAATAAACTGTCTGGCACAAAATTACTTTTGCAGCAAGTGGCAAGTGGTGCATACCCTAAGACATTTATGGTGATAGCTATTAGCTAAACTTCCAAATTCAAAGAAAATAAAAGGAAAAATTCTATGTCTACAGCTATTTTTAAATCTTGAAATAAATCAAGATATCTGCTCAGAAGATGTAGATATCAACCAATCATTGACTTCACCAATAAATATTCCATGATTCTTGAGCTATGAAATCTATTGGATGAGAGGTGATAGATTAGCCAGGGATAGAAAGGACAGAGATTACCTATTCTGTCATAGACTACCAAAGAGGAACTCCATGCTCTGGAGGACTCTTCTCTGGTCCTCTTCTACTCACATCCCACCCCATGAGACAAAGGGTCTGTAGTCCAATGGGTTATGTCTTCCAGGAACCCATGTCCCTTCTTCTTGAGCATTCTTCAGGTACTTGGTACATATGAAATTTTCTGCCCTTGCAGCCTATACTGACTTGGAGGTTCTTCATTGGCCTTTTCAAGAGATTTAACTCATAAAAAGGCAGAACACATCACAAGTATGTAAACTCATAAGCTCAATGGGTGGCCAAGAGATAACTGTGTGTCTGCAGAGCTTAAATATACAGGCTAGGGTACCTACACACATGTACATGAGGCCTCTGAAGGTGCAGGATGGGTGCATATAAAGGAGGAGGGAGAGGCAAGCCAACGTGGCTCCATTTTCTAGCATGCAACTCCAAGAGATACAATAATCATATATTCATATCTGGTCTGCTAGGTCATTTGTAATGATGCATTTGCCCATGTAGGAGAATGGAAAAAATTTAAAATAGTTTATTTAATAGAATGATTTCAGTTTCAAGATATCTAGGCATATGCTATATGTGTCTCCATTTTCTCCTGTCCTGTTGCACCTATGTTAGGGAAGATCTGCAGAAGGCACACTCAAAAGGAATAAGTAAACAGAGTTTAATGCAGGAATATTTACGAAGGTGTTAAAAAGGTTAAGAAAAATCCGGCCAGGTGTGGTGGCTTACGCCTGTAATCCCAGCACTTTAGGAGGCCAAGGCAGGAGGATCACGAGGTCAGGAGATTGAGACCATCCTGGCTAACACAGTGAAACCCCGTCTCTACCAAAAATACAATAAGAAATTAGCCTGGCATGGTGGCGGGCGCCTGTAGTCCCAGCTACTCGGGAGGCCGAGGCAGGAGAATGGCGTGAACCAGGGAGGCGGAGCTTGCAGTAAGCCAAGATCGCGCCACTGCACTCCAGCCTGGGCAACTGTGCGAGACTCTGTCTTATAAATAAATAAATAAATAAATAAATAAATAAATAAATAAATAAATAAAAAAAAAATAAAAAGGTTAAGAAAAATCCATGGCTGGCAACAGCAGGAAGTGACTACCATTACCAGGCCTGAGGACAATGGTAGGGGGAACTTGTGATTAGAACCCAGAAATAAATTAGCTAAGAAGAAGGCTTCTCTACAGAAGTTGGGACCCTTAATAAGAGCCATACAATCACTGTGAACCCACAGCCTGGTGGAGAGACAGCTAAATGAATACCATAAACCTCTAACTTATTTGGCACTCTGTCTTCTGCTGGTATCTTCTATGTGTTCAACCTAATCATAAGCCAGAAGAAAAGAGGAACTGATTGGTACAGTCTATAGAGTTCAGCCTCTCAGCTTAAAATGCAGAATGGTGAAGGGTAGAGAGGAGGAGAGGTAAATGGAGATTATCCAGCATGGAATGGCATCAAACAATGTCCAGATTCAAATTCTTTCTTTTAATAACTGTGGGGCTTGAGGAAACTATTAATTCAAAGTCTCCATGTCCTCATTTGTAAAATGGGTCTCTTATAATGCTTACATTATGGGGATGTAAAAAGGAAATAACATTTGTAAACAATTTACCATGGTATTAGTCAACTGGTAGATGGTTCATAAACATTAGCTTATATTAGGTGGTTATGGAATTTCACAAGGTGAAGTCACTATTCACAGATCTTCCAATCATAAATGCTAACAATTATTTATTCATTAAGATAACATTTGTTTAGTGCCTAGTATGTTTCAGCCACTGTACTGGGCTATAGGGTACAGAAATTTAAAATAAAAATAAAAATAAAAATCCTTGTTTCCTCAGAGTAAATAAGAAAAGGCCCTGCGTTAATGTAGTTTTTAAATTGACTTGGAGTAAAAAACAAATAAATAGGCATTTTCTATACAGAAACTAAGCACAAGTGATATAGTATCTAAAGATTTTGGAATCAGAGTTTTTAGATTTAAATCTCAGATTTTCTGCTTACTATATATATATATATATTTTTTTTTTTACTTTGGGCAATTTTCCAGTTACACCAGAGATCAGCAGCTTAAAGCAGTCATTTTATTACATTCACATATTCCATGGTCATGGATTTAGGAAAAAAACATAATGATAACATATTTCTACTGCTTGTAACTGCAACTAAGAGGATTCAAAACTCTCAAGATGACTATGGCTGAGGGCTGGAATGATCAAATGATCAGGAGGTATTCTTATTCACATATCTAGCAGTAGACACTGCCTGGGGCCCGGGCTGGGGCTGTTGGCCAGACATTAGCTATACCCAGTCTCTGTTATCGGGGCTTCCTAAGAGCATGGCAGCCTCAGACCTTTTAGCTGGCTCAAGAGTCCAAAAATGAGTGCTTAAAGAGAACCAGTGGGGAGCCACTGATACAGTTCCCAGTCTAGCTTTGGAAGTCACAGAGTATCTCTTCTATAGTGACAAATCCATCCAGATTCAGGGATAAGAAACATAGAACCTATCTTTCAGTAGAGGAAGTGTTATAGTCACATTATAAGAGTGCACACGTAAGATAAGAAACATTGTTGCAGCTTTCTTTTGGTAAATACAACCGTACTTGACCTCTCTATAACTGTTTTTCTCATCTATAATATGGAGACTCTATAATATGGAGATTCTCCGTAACTGTTTTCTCATCATTGAGACTCTATAATACGGAGATTCTCCGTAACTGTTTTCTCATCTATACAGAGGTTCATCTAGAATATGGAGATTCTTTTAGCCTATTATTGAATATAATATTCAATAAGAATATTAAATAGGATAACATATATGCTTGAAATTGTGTCTGATATGTAAATATTTAATAAAGGTTCGGTAATATTTTAAAGAACCAGATACCATTAGAAAAACATAAGTAAGATCACTAAGCTTGTGTTAAGGGATCCATCAGGCAATATATCAAAGTTTAGATGTAAAGGATAGGTATGAATTACCCAAGTGAAACACAAAGAAAAAGGAATTTGTTTCTCATTAACCAAAAGCTGAGATGATATAACACAGAGGCTCAACAAAACAATAACTTTAAAAACCATGCTTATTTCTCAATTTTAACTGAATATGAATGCCTAGGTCAGCAACATTTCATTGACAATTATGGCCCTGACCTCCTTTCAAGTCTACTGCTCATCTTCCTAATGCATAGGTGTTGTCTGATGTTACTGCCAAAGTTGGTCACATAATATTTGGGTTCCAAATAGTGCAGGATGTGAGCAAAAGGTGAAAAAACATACTCAATGTATTTAGACCCAGGTCTAGAAGCAACACACATTGCTTCTGCACACCTTCCCCTGGGAAAGAACTAGGCCATGTGACTTTACCTAATTGCAAAGATAGTGGGAAATATAATCTGGCTTGGCAGCCATATACCCAATAAGAAGAGTAAAATCGATATAGATGGAGATGAATTATGGTTTTGTTACAATAGCTGGAAATTTGATTCATCCATATTTCTTAACATGGCACAGGAGAGCACGTCTGGGCAGGATGTGCTTGCAAAACAAGGGAATAAAGGAAGTGTTTATTTATTGTGCATATTTTTTCATACTTTTTATGTACATAGCAAGAAACATTAACTAATATTGATATGTCAGAAATGGTGGCCGTATTTTAAAATCCAGTTGTATTTTTAAAAACTTCTGGACTCTAATTCTAACATTTGGAAATATAGTAACTGATATTATATATAAAATATACAACCATTCTCTAAGAAGTGACTTCCCAGAAAGATGACTTTATTTCAGCAAATAATATCCCAATTTGGTTTCAGTTATTACATATAAATAAGTTAATATACTTCAGTTATCCTGAAATTTTTTTTTACCGGTAACTAACACTTGTGAGCATCTGCAAACTTATGTATGAAGCTGTCAAAATGACTCAATGACAACTATTGAAATGTAATAATAATTTTATAACCAGTAGCTGAAAAAAAGAACTGAGATTAGCTTATAGTTGTATAAGTGATAAGTATTTGGAAAGAGAATAGACTTAATGGATTTGGAAGTTAAGAAAGGCATCTAACGGCCAGGTGCAGTGGCTCACGCCTACGATCCCAGCACTTTGGGAGGTCAAGGCAGGTAGATCATTTGAGGTGAGGAGTTCGAGACTAGCCTGGCCAAGATGGTGAAACTCCATCTCTACTAAAAATGCAAAAATTAGCCAGGCGGCAGTGGCACATGCCTGTAATCCCAGCTACTCGGGAGGCTAAGGCAGGAGGATCGCTTGAACTCAGGAGGCTGGAGGTTGTGGTGAGCTGAGATCGCACCACTGTACTCCAGTCTGGGCAACAGAGTGAGACCCTGTCTCAAAAGGAAAGAACAAAGAAAAAAGAAAAAAGTCATCTAAGTGGAGCACTGAAGCTTTGTGCAAGTTACAGAGGCACAAGTTCTAGGAGCAAATACATCTGAGTTTCTGAACTCCCCCTCTGCCAGTTACTAGCTGTGTCACTCTGAGAAGGTCATCTAACTTCTTTTTTTGTTTGTTTGTTTTTTTTGAGATGGAGTCTCGCTCTGTCGCCCAGGCTGGAGTGCAATGGCACGATCTCGGCTCACTGCAGGCTCTGCCCGCCAGGTTCATGCCATTCTCCTGCCTCAGCCTCATCTAACTTCTATGAACCCATTTTTTCCTTTAAATTTATAGTATCTACCTTACATTAAATAGAAATATTATAACTATAATGTCAATTTATATACACATAAAATGAGTAATCAAGTATCAAGTCACAACATGTGCTTCCTTGTGAAAATCTCTCTCCATCAGAGCAACTTTCTCCATCTGCAACCCAAGAGAAACTCTGCAAAGCACATCACAATACATCAGGAGCCAAAGGCTGAGGATTTCATCCTTGCATTGAGAAAATATGTCAATATAGGAAGAGAATACTGCACAGAAATACAAAATCTAGTGAATATTATTTATGAGAAAGTGATCATCTAAAATAAGATGATGTACCAAAAAAATTGAAAACCAATAATTTTCCATTTTAGGAAATCCAGTATGATACAAACTCAGTAACATCTTGAAGCACATTTATATAAATTCTTTGGAATAATAAATAATAAACCTGCTAAAAGAATAAGTATGTCTTTTATTTCTCCTTTTAGAATGAATTCACCTTTTTAGATATGAAGGTAGGAAAAGAAATAATTCACTTTCAAACAAATACAGAATGGTATTCAAAATCTGTCCTAGAAAACGTGTCAATAATCCTAGAGGATAAGCAGAATGCTCTAATTCGAGACAGCAGGAAAGAAAAGGAATGTGAAATTTAGCAGTAAGGTGTGATGAATCCAAATGTTAGCTTGTGTTGTAAAAAAATACATTCTTCAGTATTTAGTAAGTTTATCACGCTTTGGTGTTAAATTACAGTACATGAAGCTTTATGAGATGAATATTCACCTTTTTTAACATCTCCAATTTTTTCTAGGCCAATGTAGTAGTGAACATAATAAATATTTTGCTCAGGTAATTTCTCTATGTTACAGCAATTACATCAAATTTCATAAACACTTATTATGTGAGTGTTATATGAAAAGCATAAGGCTAAGGCCATGCATGGTGGCTCACGCCTGTAATCCCAACACTTTGGGAGGCTGAGGCAGGTGTTTCACCTGAGGTCATGAGTTCAAGGCTAGCCTGGCCAACCCGGTGAAACCCCATCTCTACTAAAAATACAAAAATTAGCTGGGTGTGGTGGTGAGTGCCTATAATCCCAGCTACTTGGGAGGCTGAGGCCGGAAAATTGCTTGAACCCAGGAAGAGTTTGCAGTGAGCCAAGATCATGGCACTCCAGCCTGGGTGACAGAGTGAGACTCCGTCTCAAAAAAAAAAAAAAAAAAAAAAAAAAAAAGCACAAGGCTAGAGGAAACTGAAGGGATACATAAGCAAATAAATTACGATGCCTTACAGATTAAGGGAGGTGGACCACTGACATATGTTGAGACATTCTTATAATGTTGATGTCACTTTTATTTTAAAACAAAACAAAAATTGAAATCAGACAATATTTTTACACAATGACATTTGTTTTAAAATAAGAATTTTGAGAGAAAATATGTTTGATTACATTAAAGAAGGACATTTTAATTTCATGGTAAGTGGTACTGAAGCAGGGTTCTTTGGCAGAGAGAGTACTTAATCCCAGCCTTGAGAAATGTATAGGAATTCAAGAGGTAGAGTTTGTACAACTAGCGGAGAAGGAACACCACAAATAAAGGCATAAAGAAAGTGGATCTTCATGTAAAAATAAGTGGTCCTTTGTGCTTATAGTAGAGTATATGTACTAGAATAACAAATAAGAAATAATTTTTATGAAAACAATACCTGAAAAGGGAGAGTTTTAAGAATAAGAACTTTAGGCCAGGGGTGGTGGCTCATGCTTATAATCCCAGCACTTTGGGAGGCCGAGGTGTGCAGATCACCTGAGGTTAGGAGTTCGAGACCAGCCTGGCCAACATGGTGAAACCCTGTCTCTACTAAAAGTACAAAAATTAGTCAGGCATCATGGTGGGAACCTGCAATCCCAGGTACTTAGGAGACTGAGGCAGGAGAATTGCTTGAACCCAGGAAGCGGAGGTTTCAGTGAGCCAAGATCTCACCACCATTGCACTCCAGCTTGGGCAACAGAGTGAGACTCCATCTCAAAAAAAAAAAAGAAAAAAAGAAAAAGAACTTTATTGATATATAATTCAATACCACACAATATTCACATCTGAAATGCACAATTCAATGTTTTTAACTATATTCACAAAGTTGTGCAATCATTACCACAGTCAATTTTAGAACACTTTCATGACTCTGAAAAGAAACCTTGGACTGATTAGCAATTGCTACCCATTTATTGACAGTGCAGAAAAGGGAGTTTGGTCTATTCTGTGAAGGACCTTAGATCTTTATTCACTAGGTTATCAGTGCAAAAATGTCAGTGTGTTTTAGTACTAGGGTAACATGATCACCTGTGTGTTTGTGGAAAATTATTCTAGTAGCAGTGTGTAGTACGGAAAAAAAGCATTTGAATAAGAGGAATCTATTTTCACTGTCTTTTCCATGTTCTCCAAATATGCTCTAATTCTATCTAACCAAAACATCTTTACACTGCTCTATGGATTACATTCCACAGAAATTTCTTCCTTTGTAGTATTTTAAGCAAACCAGTAAATATTTACTAAGTACCATTTGCTTACAACTGAGCTACTCTCTTTTCCCTTGGTTCAATTTGATTTTCCTTAGACTTCACTTTAGAGCACAGTAATTATCATTTATATATTTCTCAAAGCTATCTGAAAATTAATATGGTGAGCTATTATCTTTATTTTTAAGTAAGAACACTCACAATCAGAAACATCAGTGCACCAGCCTGGCCAACGTGGTGAAACCGTTTCTACTAAAAATACAAAAATTAGCCAGGCGTGGTGGTGGATGCCTGTAATCCCAGCTACTCGGGAGGCTGGGACAGGAGAATCACTTGAACCTGGGAGGCAGAGGTTGCAGTGAGCCTAGAACGTGCCATTGCACTCCAGCCTGGGTGACAAGAGCAAAACTCCATCTCGAAATAAATAAATAAATTAAAGAAACATCAGTGCTTTCTTATAAGGCACACATCTACCAAATGTCAGAAACATGACTGGGTGACTGGTCTCATGTCTTTAGGGTCAGACCTTTTTCCATCATATAACACAGCTACCTCCTCAGCTGTTGGCCATGATCTGCTGTTAACTTTTAGTCATGAAATTGACAACTTCTTCCTCTACCCAGAAGTATGTAGAATCTAAGCAGTTTGGGAGGGGTTAGGATACAACATGGTTATACTGATCTTCAGATTTGTTTAAAAATGTTTTAGAAATCTAATTGTAGAATTAGAAATGGCTTAGGAAATGGATTTTGTTTTTTAAAATATTTAAGAGTATAGAATTATCCTAGAATGAATTTGACAAGAAAAGTGCATGAGCAATAAACCTAAACATAAGACAATTTAAACCTTTTGTTAATACTAATTAGTGAGTAGATAATACACAGAAGGCACGTTTGTAGACTATAGACAATCCAGTCATGTTTGGTAGATGTGTGTCTTATGAGAAAGCACTGATATTTCTGACTGTGAGTTTTCTTACTTTAAAAATAAAGATAATAATCCCACTAGATTAACTTTCAGATAACTTGGAGCAATATGTAAAATGATCATTGCTATGCTCTAAAGTTCTAAGGAAAATCAAATTGAACCAAGGGAAAAGAGAGTAGACCAGTTGTCTCAAAGCAGAAATTCCTAAACTGACTGTTCTTAATAATAACTTTTAAGTAATAATCAATTCTGTTATGCATACGGCCACTAAGTAATAAAATTTTGCAGGTTATTAAGGCCATATTAATGTACCATTTGAGAGCAATTCCGTGAGGTAGAAAGCTAAGAGAGGTACAAAGATTTGCCTAAGGCATTGGAGTCCAGGTCTTCTGACTGCAAATGACAATGGCATTTGAAAGGGCTAAAACCCAGAATGCACCATTCCTAGTTCTGGCTTTCCAAAGGAAGTCCTCTTCATTGATGAAGGTTTAGACAAAGTTCTATTCCCAATGTAAGTGCTTGACACTGGGTGGGCCCTGACCTATCACAAGCTTAAAAACCCAGGAGAGTATTTTCTAATGAGCCATATCAAGTGTAATTTAAGCGAAATGAAGACAAATTATTCTTCCCTACTCAAGCCCACACCTTAACATCGGCTTCCCAAGTGTACCAATTACATTCATTTTTATTTATTATTCTTATTATTATTTTTTTTTTTTGCTACAGGGTCTTGCTCTGCCACCCAGGCTGCAATGCAGTGGCACATTCACAGCTCACTGCAACCTCTGCTTCCTGGGCTCAAGTGCTCCCCAACTTCATCATCCCAAGTAGCTGGGACTACAAGCATGTGCCACCATGCCCAACTGGGATTTTTCTTTTTTAAAAAAAGTTGTGTGGCTGGGTGCGGTGGCTCACACCTGTAATTCCAGCACTTTGGAGGCTGAGACAGGTAAATCACCTGAGGTCAGGAGTTCACGACCAGCCTGGCCAACACAGTGAAACTCCATCTCTACTAAAAATAAAAATATAAGCCAGGCATGGTGGCGCTCCTCTATAGTCCCAGCTACTCGGGAGGCTGAGACAGAAGAATCGCTTGAACCTGGGAGGCAAAGGCTGCAGTGAGCTGAGATCGCACCACTACACTCCAGCATGGGTGACACAGCGAAACTCTGTCTCAAAAAAAGTTTTGTAGAGATGGGCTTGCTATGTTGCCCAGGATGGTCTCAAACTCCTAGGCTTAAGTGATCCTCCTGCCTTGGCTTCCCAAAGTGTAGAGATTACACGTGTGAGCCACTGCACATTCAATTATATTCTAAGTTTCTAGCACCCACAATGAATCATTGTTTTATCTATAGTAATTGTTTTTCTAACTTGCTGACTTGCATGAGGTGCCTTGGAATGCTGAGGCTTAATTTCTCCTTTTCTTGGGCATTGTTTGAGGAATATGTGGAGACGGGGAGAACTTTGAATTTTGTATGACTTCTTTCACTCCTTGATACTTCTTTATTTTAGTGCCACTCATTAAAAAGTCAGGAAACAACAGGTGCTAGAGAGGATGTGGAGAAATAGGAACACTATTACACTGTTGGTGGGACTGTAAACTAGTTCAACCATTGTGGAAGTCGGTGTGGCAATTCCTCAGGGATCTAGAACTAGAAATACCATTTGACCCAGCCATCCCATTACTGGGTATATACCCAAAGGATTATAAATCATGCTGCTATAAAGACACATGCACACGTATGTTTATTGTGGCACTATTCACAATAGCAAAGACTTGGAACCAACCCAAATATCCAACAATGACAGACTGGATTAAGAAAATGTGGCACATATACACCATGGAATACTATGCAGCCATAAAAAAGGATGAGTTCATGTCCTTTGTAGGGACATGGATGAAGCTGGAAACCATCATTCTCAGCAAACTATCTCAAGGACAAAAAACCAAACACTGCATGTTCTCACTCATAGGTGGGAAATGAACAATGAGAACATGTGGACACAGGAAGGGGAACATCACACACCGGGGACTGTTGTGGGGTGGGGGGAGTGGGGAGGGATAGCATTAGGAGATATACCTAATGCTAAATGACGAGTTAATGGGTGCAGCACACCAACATGGCACATGTATACATATGTAACAAACCTGCACATTGTGCACATGTATCCTAAAACTTAAAGTATAATAATAATAAAAAAAATTATAATAAAAGAAAAAAAAAACTTTAACAGGCATAGACCACGGTGTTTCATCAACCATTTTCCAATCTATTTATTGTCAAACATAAAAGCCTATCTAAAGAAAGAGGCCCAGGGTAGATACATGGGATCAAAACACAGAGGAAGTTCTGGGCTTTGGAGCTCTTGGAACTCTGGAATGAGACAATGCCCTACAAACAGGATATTCAAGTGATTCAGAAATTAGCATCCATGCTGTATAATGCAGCTTCTTTCTTTTGCCATTAAAAGGAGGATGGCGAGGATGAATTTCCCCAGGTACACCCCTAACATCCCTAACATCAGCAAGAGTACAAATGGAGAATAGTTTGACATTTATCTAAATATTTAAAAGATATAAATCAAGCTGCTAAAAAAAAATCTATTCCTGACTTTTGTAATGACATGGAAGGTCAGGTTTGACTTTAGAATTCTAAGACACCTCAGAGTCCCATGCCAGACTTGGCTGTATGAGGAGGGTTGGTCTGGGTCCAGTAACCTTTTTTTTTTTTTTTTTTTCCTGCTATATTTTACTCTGTGGCATTTAGGGGCCTCACTTGCTTTGGGGGCTACCTCAGCCCAGAGTCCCCAACCCCATGTATGTCTCCTCACCTAAACATCCTTACTTGAGGTCTAGAGGTCAGTACATCACCAGAGAAGCCCACAGATCCCTCCTTGAAAGCCCTCTCAGAGTCAACGAAGGCAGGGAATTCTTGCATTCCGAGTCTCTGCAGCACGATCCAGAAGAGGACATGTGTTAAGTGTGGGCATATTTCTGGAGCCTCAGAGAATTCTTGCCTAATGGGAAAGAATATGGCTAAAGAAGAGTCATAGCAGATCCTCTAAAGAACAAGATACAGACCGGGCGTGGTGGCTCAGGCCTGTAATCCCAGCACTTTGGGAGGCTGAGGCGGGCAGATCACGAGGTCAGGAGATCGAGACCATCCTGGCTAACACTGTGAAACCCCATCTCTACTAAAAATACAAAAAAAAAAAAAAATAGCCAGGTGTGGTGGTGGGCACCTGTAGTCCCAGCTACTCAGGAGGCTGAGGCAGGAGAATGGCATGAACACGGGAGGCAGAGGTTGAAGTAAGCCGAGATCACGCCACTGCACTCCAGCCTGGGTGACAGAGACAGACTACATCTCAAAAAAAAAAAAAATGGATATAAGCCTACCTCCTTTTGCAAAGGTCTAAGAGAGGTACCATTCCCCTTCCATGCACCCTCCAAGCAAGCACACAAGAAAAAATTATCAGCTTCTCACCTTGACATGTCATCATGTAATACAGAGATGGAAGATGTCACCATGGCCTTAAATGAGCTCAATCAGCCAGAATTGATGTATGTAGGGACATGGAATTCCTATCAAATTTAATAGCTTTATCAAAGGCATAGAATAGTGTGTGGAGGGAAGTTAACTCCTAAATTATCAAAAAGTGAAGAAATAACAAATAATACCTAACAAAAAAAGGGACAGCGATGCAGAGAAGTTAAGTAACTTGACAAACCTCACACAATTATTAACCTGGAAGAGATTCAGTCCCACAACTTTCCATCTTCAAAACCCCATGTTCTTTCTACTTCCTGGTAACCATCTTCTGAGAAATGAAGTTTCTATCACAGATATTTGCTTGCATCCTTTTCTCCTTTATTTTCCTGTAAAACTATTTTACAGGGCCTCTTTTTAACACAGTCTGGTCCCAGATGCACTCTTCACTCCCTATTATACTACTTCCTTTCACAAATAGCCAGGATGACTTATTTAATTTCGTCCATTTTCATGTTTGTCACAATTTGTTGGTGCCTGTTCTCTACTTGTTATCCTCTAAACCCACTGTCTTTACCAAGTACTAGCTTTCCAGATTTCTGATCCATCTGTGAAGCCCAGCAGGGAATACTGCTTATCTGGGAATTTCCTAAGAACGGAGAATCTTGCACGTGAATACCCAACTGTAACCCCTCTGCACGCCTCCCTTAGCTCATTGCCCTTTCTTTAAAAAAGTTCTTCCTTGCAAGTTTCACACTAGGTGATTATGAAGAGAATTAAGTGATGTGAATTTCTTAATCAATTTCATGCTGAGAAGATCAGCAAGTTACAACAGAAAGAAAATTTTAAGGAAATTAATACCCTGTCTAGTTCGAACCTTTCTCTGTATCCATCAGGCAGGCCTGGATACTCAATGTTGTCAGCAAAAACAAAAAATAATCAATGAATAAATAAAAACATTCATTCTCAGTTAAGACATCTTTTCAAATACTAGTTACCAGAGGTTGTGTGTGGAATTATAGTAGTATTTACAACCACTCTAGAATGCTATGTCTTTAGAAAGGTATAATAAAATAGATCCAGTTTATAATACACTACTACATTCCAAGTGTTTTATACTTATAATTCCTAATCTTTGTGAATTCATTATCTCCTCATCTAAGACATAAAAATAGCAGAGACTGATAGCTAGAGACAATTCCCCAAAATCACACAACTGATGAGAGTTAGAGCTGAGATTTGGAAACATGAATCCAGCTTGGTACTAGGAAATCCTGTTCTTCCAAGGTAAGCTAAGGATAAATATTACCAGGAATTTAGCAGGAACTAATCCTCTTAAAACCTAGAGGCCCACAATTTGCCCCACTCCTGCAATAGTCCCAGCTTATCATTTTTCTATGGACCAGAAGTTTTAGTAGTTTCTGGGGTGATTGCCTGACATGGTAGAAACGCTGGTGTTCTTTAAATGAGATGGACCTAGGTCAGAATTTTAGTACTTTTTAAAATTACTTGTGAGACCTTAGATCATGTCAGTAACATTACCTGAATCTCAGTTTACTTTTTTGGGAAATGTATGTTACAGATTTGCATTCCATTCCACAATGTAAGTGAGGCAAAAAGGCAACTTTTTTTCTTAAATTTAGCTAAATTTCTATTTTTAGCTCTCATTCTGGAAAGGAGGTAGAGATATATTTTTATTCAATTGGATGCCCCACCACCCACTCCTCTTATTATGGTATTTGAGAAAGCTTACAAAGATGTCAGTGGTGAAAAATAAAAGGGAGTAATTCTAAATATCCATCTAGATCAGGTAAGCCCAGTTTTCTTTAGTGTTATCTTTAGACTTTGGTACACAAAAGTTACCGTAGCACAGTCTGTGGGTCTGATGACTCTTTTAGTTCATTATTGCCAACATGGGGCACATGAGACTTCTCCTGATTCCGAAGAGTCCCAGGCCAAGGGAACCCTGGTGACACTATGGTCTCATCTACCTGGTAAAGCAATTGCCATTTCTCCTGTAGGAATTTGCCCTACCACTGGGCTCTAACCAGTGTACAGCCCAGCTATGGACATTCTCAGCATATTTATGTCCCAAAGAGCTCATTTTTAAAAACTCTCCTCTATATTTCAAAATTATATTCAGTAATTATCAATGAAATGGCATAAATAATAATAGTGGTTAAAAAAGAAAAGCAATGAAAATTGTCTTCTATTAAACTTTGTGTATATAATTACGCCCAGTAAAAAATAACTAATAAAAATGGCAATACAAAAAAAGTAGATTTATGCTTTTTGATTACATTAATTTATGGGGGGAAGTGGAAAAATATTTAAACAATTAGTACCCTATTGCTGTGATAACACTATTATAATTTAATCATAATTAAAATAAAAAGATGGAAATTTTAAATATAAAGAATCTTACCCAAATTCAATAAAATATTTATGTTACAAATGAAAACATATACTTACCAAACAAAAATATTGTTAGTTATACTTCAGGCTCCATTTTACTATTTTAAATGTTAAAGCACAAGTAAAAAATGTCATTAATCATACGTTACGGCAGAAGTAAAGTAATTCAAGTCTTGTTTTCAGGATTTTACAATCATTGTGCTATCATTGTTGATTTTGAATATTCTTTTTAAAGGTAGTGTGTGAAATCATCAACTGATGCAAAAAAGAACAAGGATAGCTCTCAATATTTAAAGTTACCCTAGGAATGACTTTTCTTGTAACTGAGTTTGTGGGTTAGGGATTGTATTAGTTTTCTAGGGTGGCTGGATGAAATTAATTGACGGCTTAAGACAGTAGAGATTAATTCGTTTACAGTTCTGAAGGCCAGAAGTTTGAATCGAGGTGTTGGGAGCCCCACATTTCCTCCACCCACTCTAGGGAAGATCCTTTTCTTCACTCTTCCAGCTTCTGGTGGTTGTCAGCATTCCTGGGCTTGTACAGCTGCCTCACTGCAATCTCTGCCTCTGTCTTTATATAATCTCCATTTATCTATGTGTCCCTCTCCAGTGTGTCTCTTCTAAGAACACTTTTCATTGAATGTAGGGTCCTCCGCCCCCAGTAATCCAGGACAGTCTCATCTCAAGATCCTTTATGATTTCTACAGCGATCCATTTAGAAATAACGGTAACATTTACAGGTTTGGGGGATTAGGACATGGACATATCTTTTTGGAAGCTACCATTAACTCACTACAGAGACCAATGGAATAACTAGGAGGTCACTGAAAAACTGCTATGTTGAATACAATATATGTTAAAAGATAAATTTTCAAACGTACGTGCTAATTGTTAGTTTATGTATATATTATTAAAATTCAACATTAACTACAGCAGTTATTTAAAACTTAAGACTAAGAAAATATTCTTATCTGGGAGAATCATTTTATCATCAACATTATTTAGAATAACCTGCAAATGATGATTTAAAAAAGAAGCAGACTTCTAGTTGGTTTTATTGCTGTTGTTCAATTCATGTCAGACATTATACTCCTTTGTTGCCTGTGCCCAGGGTAGATCCAGCCCCTCTTTTCCTTCAATTGCCTTTGCTACCTCACTGCTGGCACAGGACTCTATGTTTCAATTCTATGAATGTATTTGATGGTTCACCGTTTTCTGGGACTTGGCCTAGAGAGTGGGCACAGGGCCCCTTCCTCTAAGGCTTACCCGCATCTCTGCTCTCATGTTTTCTCTGAATCTAATTTTTCTCTACCATTCTAGAGAGTCCTTTCTAATATGAAGGACAGAGAGTAATGAGTAGATAGGAGTACATGACACACAACCTCATACTGTTTTCTCCCCAAGTTTTTCCTACATGCCAACAGTTAGATTCCCTTAAGAGCCTAAATGTTTCAAGCCATATGGTCTAAGAAAAGACTCTTTTTTTTTTTCCTGCTTTATATTACACATCTCTTCCCTAATGCATACCACATTTTGGGAATACTGCTATAGAAACTAAAAATCTTTATCTAAGGCTCTTTTGGGTTAGTTACTATATTTCTCTCCTAGCAAAAGCAGAGACATTCCCTTCTGGCTCACTTATTTCCCAAGTGCATCACTTGAAAAAAGGCTTAAGGATTTGTTGTTGTTGTTGTTCTTAAGTTTCAGAATCTCCTTAGTTCAGTTAACCTGAGCAAACTATGGATAATGTCTAGGTTTCAGTTAGCTTTTCATATCTATTTTTATTACCGTGTAAGAGGCAAGGCGTTATGATATATAGGTAGTGTTGTCTCTTCCCCAAACCAAGAACATTAAATTTCATTGTGTCTCCCAAGTATTACCCCCACCCATCAGCATTCTAGCTGTGTTTTCATAATGTGATTGTTACACCAACATGATGTGTGCCCTACCCTATTCCAAAATTAAAAGATCTCTTTAAGAAGGCAGGTTTTAAAAAAATTCTGATAGATTTCTCAAGAAACATCTGTGAATTCTTAAAAAGTGGGTTATTAAATTTTCTAATTTCCCCATGTTTCATTATTCATTCACCTCAAAGAGAACTAGATAAGGCCTAAATGAAAATTCTGTTTCTACCACTGAGGTTCAGTTCATCTTTCACAGTTTTATTTCTTATATTTTTGACACAGTTGCAATTTCCCTCTCTCTATACTGAAATTTATTATAAAGTTTTTCTATTGTCTTGGATATTGCATTTGCAAAATGTATTCGTGACAACTTTCAAGATTCTTTTATCTTAAGTATGTTTTAAGGCAAGATCTCATTGTGCTTTATAAGAGAATAGAAAAATGAGTTTGCCAAATGGTGACCTTCTGATTAAATTTTTTTTTTTATTTTTTTATTTTTATTTTTATTTTTTTATTATACTTTAAGTTTTAGGGTACATGTGCACATTGTGCAGGTTAGTTACATATGTATACATGTGCCATGCTGGTGCGCTGCACCCACTAACTCGTCATCTAGCATTAGGTATATCTCCCAATGCTATCCCTCCCCCCTCCCCCCACCCCACCATAGTCCCCAGAGTGTGATATTCCCCTTCCTGTGTCCATGTGATCTCATTGTTCAATTCCCACCTATGAGTGAGAATATGCGGTGTTTGGTTTTTTGTTCTTGCGATAGTTTACTGAGAATGATGATTTCCAATTTCATCCATGTCCCTACAAAGGACATGAACTCATCATTTTTTATGGCTGCATAGTATTCCGTGGTGTATATGTGCCACATTTTCTTAATCCAGTCTATCATTGTTGGACATTTGGGTTGGTTCCAAGTCTTTGCTATTGTGAATAATGCCACAATAAACATACGTGTGCATGTGTAAGAAAACCTAGGCATTACCATTCAGGACATAGGCATGGGCAAGGACTTCATGTCCAAAACACCAAAAGCAATGGCAACAAAAGCCAAAATTGACAAATGGGATCTAATTAAACTAAAGAGCTTCTGCACAGCAAAAGAAACTACCATCAGAGTGAACAGGCAACCTACAAAATGGGAGAAAATTTTCGCAACCTACTCATCTGACAAAGGGCTAATATCCAGAATCTACAATGAACTCAAACAAATTTACAAGAAAAAAACAAACAACCCCATCAAAAAGTGGGCGAAGGACATGAACAGACACTTCTCAAAAGAAGACATTTATGCAGCCAAAAAACACATGAAAAAATGCTCAGCATCACTGGCCATCAGAGAAATGCAAATCAAAACCACAATGAGATACCATCTCACACCAGTTAGAATGGCAATCATTAAAAAGTCAGGAAACAACAGGTGCTGGAGAGGATGTGGAGAAACAGGAACACTTTTACACTGTTGGTGGGACTGTAAACTAGTTCAACCATTGTGGAAGTCAGTGTGGCGATTCCTCAGGGATCTAGAACTAGAAATACCATTTGACCCAGCCATCCCATTACTGGGTATATACCCAAATGACTATAAAATTTTTTAAAACACAGTTTTGGGGCCGGACGCAGTGGCTCATGCCTGTAATCCCAGCACCTTGGGAGGTCTAGGCAGGTGGATCACCTGAGGTCGAGAGTTTGAGAACAGCCTGACCAACATGGAGAAACCCCGACTCCTCTAAAAACACAAAATTAGCCAGGTGTAGTGGCACATGCCTGTAATCCCAGCTACTTTGGAGGCTGACACAGAGAATTGCTTGAACCCAGAAGACAGGTTGCGCCAAGGTCACGCCATTGCACTCCAGCCTGGGCAACAAAAGCGAAACTCTGTCTCAAAAAAAAAAAAAAAAAAGGGAAAACATGCCCATTAGCATTTCCTCCTAATAAAGACCATTCATAACACTTCAGAATCCTGCAATAAGCAAGAAAAATTATCTGGAAATTAATGCACTGCATTCACCTGCATTTAGAAGAATAGAGAAAACAGGGAAAATTTGTACAGTTCTTATTTTATGTGAGCTGTTAATATATATTTTTCTCTTAATCTTCACAGTAATCCTAAGATACGTGTATAAATATCACTCAATGTGCAGAAGAGAGTCTGACTAGGTCAATTCCTCCTCTAATATACTGTCCTTGGTAATGTTTTTCACAAATGAGACTGTTCACTTATTTGATGATTCTTTGATTTCTGCCTCCCCTATCTTAGTCTATAAGCTTAGTGAGGGCAGGAGTTATATATGCTTCTTGCTTGTTTGTTTGCTTGGTTCCACCAAGTATGCCCAGTGCCCATTACGAAAACTCCAATACATTATAGGTTCTTAATAAATATATGTTGAATAAACAAAATGGCGTAATGCCTTAGTATTAGAAAATGACAGTGCTGAGGCTGGGACCTCTGTCTCTGATGAGAAAGCTTGCAACAATAATTATTCTATGGTTTTCTTGCCCATATGCTTATAATAATTGCTTTATTTATGCAAGGTGGGTTTCTAGTGTTGTCAAAGGCTGGGAACCGTGGCTCAGCCTATAATCCCAGAGCTTCGGGAGGCAGAGGTGAGAGGATCACTTGAGGCCAGGAGTTTGGGATAGTACTGTCAAAGGACATGATAATACGTGTATAGTCTGATCTCTGGGCCACTAGACAGTCACTTAATGATTACATTTTCTACCAGTCCCATTAATTTTACCATTAATCATGTAGCATGTTTCAAAGCTCACCTGCTTTATCTACAGTTTTTCATTATTATTCATTTGTCTGATTTGGGGTCACAATATTGAAACCTCGGAAACCTTAAAAGAGACCTGTTTTAGCAATAATGCATATGCATATTTTTCCCTGGCATCTACAAATGGAGTAACTGTGGTAACAGAAGCCTTCTAAATTTGACAGCATAAAATATATATATATATAGCTATTTAAATATTTCATCGAGATGACTACAGTGGTTAAAAGGGCACCCCCATTTACTGAGGTCAAATGGCACAGGAGCTTCATAAATTCTTTCTTGTTGATCAATTCATATTAAAGGCCCTTGGATCTAACCACATCTCAGTTTGCACACACACATAATTCTTCCTGCATAAAGTTTTGATGGCACTCTAAACATTTCTGGAATTAAATTTTGTGTATCATTTGTGGTCACATTATCATCTTTCTCCTAGTTGTCTTTCCAGGTTTATACACGAGCTTCTAAGTATAAGGATCCTGCCATCAAAGACCAATGACGAAATGAGTAAAAGAATGGTTATTTGCCAAGTTTATTTTCTGCCACCTTAACTCTTAACTTGTAACAGGTCAAAAGTATAAAAAAATAAGTCAAACACTAGATTAGTTTAAAATATATTTTGAAATTATATTTCAAGGAAATTAGCGTATGTAAAATAAAGTCCACATCTGGTATGGAATACAGGTAGTGGTAGAGCAGAGCTGCTGGAAGAAAGATGGGCAATGCTGCAATCCCATCCACACCCATTCTATGGAAAATGTAAAAATCCAGTAACACTGATATTCACCTTAAATAGCACTCTTTCCCGAATACTTGAAATGTTTCAAATTGATGTATTGATCATATTTCCACATCTTTCAATAGTCATTAGCAATGTACAGAATGATGCAATTTTAGAGCTATCTTTATTTTGGGTCCATTTGAATGAGATGTGATTTACATTTTTCACTATGAACTACAGTGAACACCATTTATTTAGTATTATTGTTATTATTATTTAGGACAGAGTTTCACTCTTTTGCCCAAGCTGGAATGCAGTGGTATGATCTCAGCTCACTGCAACTTCTGCCACTCAAGTTCAAGTGATTCTCATGCCTCAGCCTCCCAAGAGCTGGGATTACAGGCATGTGCCAACACACTCACCTAATTTTTGTATTTTCAGTAGAGATGGTAAAAATGTTGGCCAGGCTGGTCTCAAACTCCTGGCTTCAAGTGATCCAACTGACTTGGCCTCCCAAAATGCTAGGATTACAGGCTTGAGCAACCATGCCCAGACAACACAATTTAATTAACCATTTTCAGAGGTTTAAATCTGTAATGAAGATAGGGTTCAGTTTTAGACTACCATTCTTCAGGGTCAAAGCTTAGGGAAAGAAGATAATTTTATTTATAATCATTGCTAGGCTGACTTTGCTTATCATTTCTCATAGCTGCACGTATAGGTGAGAATGGGCCAGGTTATGCTGTGTTAATATCACCAAATATCATTGACTTAAAACAACAGTGGTTTATACCTCACTTATATTGCGTGTCAATCTCTGACTGGCTGGGCACTCACGCTGCTCATTGTCATTACATTTCATTCTCAGGGAAAAACCACTGTCTGGAAATCAAAAGTTGTCATAAAGAAAAGAGAAAGTTCTGGAGAGTCTTTGCATGAACAATTAAATTATTCTAATGGAAGTGACGCACATTTCTTCTGCTCATTACTCTTTGGCCAGGACTGTCACTTGCCCCAGCCAAACAAGGGATTCTAAGAAATATAATCCTATCTGGTGACTGGGAAGTAATGGGGTATAAAAGATTAATGCACAGCAGTAATTACTACTATATTGCATGAGGCTTTATAGCTTCAAGAGGAAGGAAGTATAAAGAGATGAGAAAACTTCAAATGGGGGCTCCTCCAGTGGAATACAGTTTGGCAATGCAGAGCTTATTTCAGTCAGCCTTATTGTTAGGTTTTTATTATTATACACTCCTTTGTTTTTGTTTGTTTCTCCTTCTTATTATCTATAATTCCTGGTGATAGTCTACTACATTTTATCTTAGAATGTGTTACAGGCTCCATTTGTGATAGGGTAGAGCTGATGTTTTTTTTTCTTCCTTTTATTTGCTATGTAGGTTGTAGGAAACTTCTTTGGTTGCCATCTTTTCTATTGCCTCTAAAATTTGGGGTTTGGGAGACACCTTTGACTCATAGCAAAATATCTTGTGCCTAAAAATTAAAAGAACATGAATTTAAAAGATTATCTCATGCTGAATAACATGAATTTAAAAGATTATCTCCCACTGAATAGTCCTCCCTGTGATTGTGATTGCCTGACAGGTCCTTCTTGCCTGCTGCACAGACAAAACTAACTCATGGAGATGGTGGTATTATAGTAAAGAAACGGTTAAATTAACAGAAAGCTAGTGGAGCAGAAGTACAGGAGTTTACTACTCAAATCAGCCTCACCAAGAATTCACCATGAACTAGAGTTTCTATGAATAATTTGGCAAGAAGGGGCTAGGGAATGGGTGCTTCTGATTGGAGATAAAAATCATAGAGCTGTCGAGAATGGTCCTTGTGCACAAAGTAGCCTATGGGTGGGGGCCACAGGACTAGTTGAGTAATGAGTCACCGGCCTGGGTGGAGACAGTCAGTCACCAGAATGCAAAAGGCTGAAAAACATTTCAAAAGACCAATCGTAGATTCTACAATAGTGATGTTATCTATAGGAGCAATTGAGGAAATCACAAACATTTTGACCTATGGCCACATGACTCCTGAGTTGTAAGGGATTATAGAAAATCAATGGCTAGTTATTCTTTAACTGTGCCTACATCTTAGAAGAATTCAGGCCTGTATTAGTCTGTTTTCACACTGCTAATACATACGTACCCAAGGCTAGGTAATTTATAAAGAAAAAGAGGTTTGATGGACTCATAGTTCCACATGGCTAGGGAGGCCTCACAATCATGGTAGAAAATTAAGAAAGAGCAAAGGGACATCTTACATGTTGGCAGCCAGGAGAAAGTTTATGTAGGGGAACTCCTCTTCATAAGACCATCAGATCTCGTGAGACTTATTCTCTATCATGAGAAGGGCATGGGAAAGACCTGCCCCCATGATTCAATTACCTACCACCAGGTCCGTCCCATGACATGTGGAAATTATGGGAGCTACAATTTGAGATGAGATTTGGGTGGGGACACAGCCAAACCATATCAAGGCCCTTGACATAATCCTAATGTTGTGTTTTTTTATTAGTTTTACAAAGGTGATTTCAGTCCCCAAACTAAAAGGAAGTCAATTTTAGGGAGAGATTATTATTATCCTTGCTTCAAAGTTAAACAATAAACTAAATTACTCCCATGGTTAACTTGGCCCACACCCAGAAATGAGCAAGGATAGCCAGCTTGTGGGGATAGAAGCAATATGGAGTCAGCCATGCTAGATTTCTTTCACTGTTATATTTTTTTGCAAAAGTGGTTTCATAATTGGATAATATTCTTGATAACATACTATAGTAATGGAGAGATAGATTTTACCATCTCTTGAGATGACATAAATCTTTGTAGGAGAGAAACTGCTTTTATTAGAAAAGAAATCCACCAATATAAATTGGAAAACGTATGTATTACAAAGGTCATATTGCCTCTCTCTATAGTATCAGTCAAAAGTACAAGATTACAGCATTTTCTGATATTCTGCAAGAAAGAGGAAGAATAGTATTTGTTCTGCATAAACTACTGGGTCATCACAAACAGTTTAGGTTACTAAGGAAATGTGGCATCAACGATGAGAAAACAGAAAAAAAAGAGGAGGGGTAATAAAAATAGGATAAAAATAGAAGGGAAAAGAAAATCAATAGAAGAAAATGCAGCAGGTTAAATGCATTTCTTTCTTCTCATATCTATATTGGCACTGAATAAAAGGCATTTATTCAATAGATCCCCCAGTGCCTACCAATGTTTGGGCAGAGAGATGTCATTGCATTCAAGGCTCTTCATCATAGATCATTGAAATCAAGATCCTCTGTGTAGTAAAGATTGACTTTGCCCAGAGAATTGTTTGGCCCTTCCTTAAGGCTCCTAAAAGATCATCTCTAAACCCTAGATATGTCCTGCCTGATAAGAGTGTCTTTGTTTACCTAAAAGCCTTGGGTCACACTAGATAGTCTAATGCTACAACATGATTTATGTGGGGAGGCCTTGGGCCATGCTTGTCAGCTCAACATCTGCAGATGCTGGAGGCTAAGGGTAGTCATGTCAGAAGTCAATTTTGTCAATGTGACCAAGCCCCCGTTAAAAATTCTAGATATCAACGCTTGAGTTGGTTGTACTCAGTGCTCCATATGTATCATCACACATTATTGCTGGGCAAAGTAAGCACTATCTGCACAATTCCACAGGGAGAAGACAATTGGAAGCTCCATTCTCAGAACTCTCCAGGACCCTGCCCTATGTTCTTCTATCTTTATCTGATTTTAATCTGTATCCTTTTGCTGTACTGAGCTATAACTGAGTATAACAGCTTTCAATGAGTTGTAAGAGTTCATTTAACAAATTATCAAACTTGAAGGTGATTTTTAGGAACCCTAAACTTGTAATTGGTGTCAGAAGTAAAGGGGTTCTTGGGAACCACAGAACTTTTCATTAGTGTCAGAAGTCATGGTTGTGGGGACTCTTAAACTTGTACCACCATGTCCAATCATAGGCCATTCTACTGAAGTCCTTCCATTGTATGGTTCTGGATTATTTAGGCTCTTTGAGACAGAAGAACAAGTAATGAGGGCCATTTAATCACTGAGGCTTGACAATGAGGATATATTGGAAGTAATATGTGACAGAAAGTGTTGACTTCATGAAAGGGCAGCCTTCATAGACAACCAGAATATGCTTTTGTGAACAATGCAATTGATTATTTTAACAAGACATTTCTTTTCTCTTATTGATAATAAGAAGTTCTTCAATCCTTCATTACAATACCATTTAATCATTTTGGAACTAACTCCTCTCCACATCTATTTCTACTCCATCAACTAAGTTGCCTGTATTCTCTCTACTGCATAAGTTTATGCTTGTTCCTGGATCTGATAAATCACAACTGCTCCTCTCATACCTGCTATCTTCCCTCTGTGTGTCTTTTGACTTTTACCTATGCCCCTGAATTCTGCTATGCTCTGTATGTCAGGCACACAAAACCCTCTGAGATAAAATCTAGTTGAGCAAATTTCTGCCACTTTGGACTATTCACACTGAGAGAGCTCCTTATGCCAAGCCATCTCAAAGGCCAGTGGGTGACCTTTTCAATTACCTAATGCAAATATAATGCAAGCCACATATGTAATTTTTAAAACTTAGTAGACACATTTCTTTAAAAGGGAGAAAAAACAGATATAATATTATATCTAAATTACATCTAAAACATTATCATTTCAACATGTGGCACTAACTACTTTTCCATTACTGAGTAGATACATGTGGCTGGTGGCTACCATATCAGAGAGTTCAGATTTTGACAGTTGAGATCCATGTAGAATAGTGGTGAACCTCATACTTCAAAACCCAGTTATTGAAAAGAAATACAGGATAATAATTATTATAGAAGATTCGGGAGACTACTTACACTTACTTATCATTAAATTTTAGCCATATTACTTATTAGCAGTGTAGCCTTGTAAGAAATACCTTATACTTCTGTTAATTTTCTCATATATAAAATAAGACCTGGGGCCAAATGCAGTGGCTCACGCCTGTAATCCCAGCACTTTGGGAGGCCGAGGTGGGCGGATTACCTGAGGCCAGGAGTTCAAGACTAGCCTGGCCAACATGGTGAAACCCCATCTCTACTAAAAAATACAAAAATTAGCCAGGCGTGGTGGTAGGCACCTGTAATCCCAACTACTCAGGAGGCTGAGGAAAGAGAATCGCTTGACGTGGGGGATGGAGGTTGCAGTGAACTGAGATCACACCATCGTACTCCAGCCTGGGTGACAAGAGTGAGACTCCATCTCAAAATAATAATAATAATAAAATAAAAATAATAAAATAAAATAAGACCTATATGATATCTTTCTTATTGAGTTATGGTATCTCTCATGCTCTTGGCAGGAAGTAAATTTCACACTCAAAAAAAGTTAATAAAGTGCCTATTTACAGAAGATGTATTCAAGGTTAATGGCAGCAATAAAGAATAGTCAAGTACCCAGAGACTAAAGATAGCGACAAGTCTTCATTTACCACTGCATTGTCCATTTTGGCTTTAAAGGGATGTTGCTACCAGAGTTGGGTTGAAAGCTTGAATGTTTGGAAAAGGGGTCACATCACAAGAATTGACTCAGCCACTGCCAGAAATTTTGATAGTGAGGTCAGGAGGGAGCAGGATACACATAGGTAAGCTTACATGTCTGAACCCTTCTTTCATTCTCCCATCTCCTATGAGTGTTTCTCATCAATAAAACCCGACCAAATGTCAGGTAAAGGGATGAAATCTGGAGAAATCAATCATGTGGGCAACAGAACAAGGTAGAGAATGAATCTGGGGTAGAAGGAGGCCAAATGACAATAACCAACACAGGTTATTATGACAGTTAAGTGAAAAGAAAATCTGTGTACAGCATTTAGTATAGCACCTGGCATATAGCATATACTCAATATATGTTAGCTATTATTGTTAATTAAATTACATTAAGTCTACAGTTATCTTTGGATCAATCAGCTCTTATCATGGTGGTGAGGCTGTGAGTGGGTTAGACACTTAGAGGTTGATAGCCTCTTGACTGATATGAGCTCCAATCTCTATAATACAGCAATATTTCCTATCAGATACTACATATTCAGCCAAACCAAACCTAATGTTCTGCAAAGTTCTCTAATTAAATAATTTTTCTTGGAAGCAGTCCGATTTAAGGAAAATCAATTTATTGAAAGCCTATTCCATTTGCCAAAAGATCATTTGTCAATGACAATTTGCCAAATCCACCAAAGATACTGATTTCCCTAAAGGCTTACTTCTTCATTGCTTCTATTTATAATGTTTATGGGAATTTTTATTTAATGGTTTGGCAGATTCTAGGAGGACTGCAGAGAGTCAGAACTCCACATTCAGAAATCTCTGCCCTTCTGCTTCTCTTACCTCCATACTTCAGTTTTCTTTCTGTCCTTTATCTTCTTTTTCTCAGCTCCTTAGTGTCCCCCACCCTCTCTGGGTTTTCAATTCCTTGATATTCCTATAAACCAAGAAGTTTCCCTTCTCCATTCACCTCGCTGCCTCAAGACTGACCCAAAGGGATGGCATTGATGGCCTCTCTTGATTTCTGTCTTTCAGAAGAGTTAGGCCAATGGGAAATACCAACACGAAAATGAAAGAAAGGAGGATCAAAAGGTTGAAATATTTTTTTCCAATGTAGTAGCTATGACTGGCCCCATCCACAAATGAAAAGCCATGGCTCCTGTTGGGTGACTTTCCACACAGCTTTTCATCTACACGTTCCAAACACTTCTTCCTCTCCTTACTCTTGAAAAAATAGGGTTAGCTTTCTGCTCTGGAATAGTCGTTCTGTGGTATTGCACTATTCTGAGTGGTTTTCCTATATTCTATTGACAACATTAAAATAATATCCTTTTACACACCTTTTGAATTATCTTAATTTGAAACTGCTACCTTTTTTTCTCTCTACTTCACTCTGCCCTTCAGTGTCCCAAGGCCTCTGGCTTCTCTGCTCTGTATTTTTCACCCTTTTTAAAGAGCAGTGACTGAGAGATGCCTGTGAGCTTAGCTTCCTCTCTCTGTTCCAGTTTCCTTTTTTTGAAAGAGAAGAAAATGGGGTGGAAAGAAAGGCTGAGGGGTACAAAGGAAGAGACTACATGTAGAGAGATAAAGATAGGGGAGGGACAGAAGAAAGAATAAAGGGCAAATAAATAAAGAGATGGTCAGACTGAGAGGTACAGAGGAATCATGAGAAAAGCAGGAGAGCCTGAGAGCCTTGCACCCGTGGAATTCTAATAGTCACAGTCATCATGCATCCATCCATTGTGAATGACTAGAAACTCAAGACTTAGCTTTAATAATTGGGTGAAAATCACGTTTCAAGTTGATTTTTGACCAGCTGGTAAATTTTACTTCTCATATTTGCTTATTTTTTTCTTGCTTTTCCTTTTGAAAATACTACTCATTAAAATCCAAAGATTTCACTTATGTTTTTCCACTGTTTTGAAACCATCCATGACTTTCCCAACAAGAGGTATATTATTCTGATGTGGAACTTTCCAGAGTATGTATCTTAGTGCTGTGAAAGCAAAAATTGCACTGGAAAAAATTAAACAGGAAGAAAGAATATAATTGAAAACCAGTACAATAGAGGGGGGAAACCTGAATGTAGTCTAAACTCTGCTCAAAGAAAGGGCAGGTGAGTTTTTAAGATCTGAGATATTGTTTGGTGAGGGGGTCCTTAAATCACAGGTAACCTGTGTTTGTTAATTGGCCTTACCCAAAGAAAAAGTAAACTTTCTTCTATCTTCATGACAGGAGGTAATTTTACAACTTGGAGCAAAGTACCCACCTAAGTTAAGCTCCTACCCTTCCACAGACATTGGGAGATTGGGGTTGTATTTTCCTTAATGATTACATTTCAAAAGGTGGCTCCCAGGTCCTTGAGAAAGATAATTTTGGTTTGTAAAACTAGCAAAAACACTTTTTTTTTTGAGACAGTCTCACTCTGTCACCAGGCTGGAGTACAGTGGCGTGGTCTCAGCTCACTGCAATCTCTGTCTCCTGGGCTCAAGCAATTCTCCTGCCTCAGCCTCCTGAGTAGCTGGGACTACAAGCACGCGCCACCAAGCCCAGCTAATTTTTGTATTTTTAGAGACGGGTTTTCACCATGTTGGCCAGGATGGTTCCAGAGGGATTAGTGAAAAGCTTGGCTATGTGTACTATATATATAAAATATTATTCACTGCACCTGGCTGCAAAAACACTTTTTAAAGATTTACATCATAAAGAGGCAGAAAATGAATTTAGAGTTACAAGTTTTCTAAAGTAAATGCTCTAATAAAAGGGAGAGAGGAGATCTCGGTGTTTAGGCCATCTGGATTCTGCAAGGACCAGAATGAGGGCAAGTTCAGAGACCTAGAGTGAAAAAGAAGTCTGGCTAAAGTTTAGTCAAGCTGAGAGAAATGATGAAGACTTCTGGGTCTGTGCCCTATCTCCTTTAAGGACATGTACCTGTCTGTCGTATTTCTTGTATTGCATTGTGAGCTTCATGAGCGCCTGGAATGTGCCTTGCCTCTGTTTGTACCTCTTGAATGGAGTGATGCAATTAAAAGTGAGCAATAGAACATGAATTAAATCAAAGTTAAGTACTAGGCAGTGCTAACTGCGTGTGTGTGCATGTGTGTGTGTTTAGGTTTATGTGTGAATTCATTCAATTACTGTCCCTTTCAAGGGTGCTCATTTGCCCTCCATAGCAGGCAGTATTACAGATGGAATTCTAATAATCCTGGGAAGATCTCACTCTAATCTTCTGACCCCAAGACGTGCTGACAAGCCACATTCATTCCCCACTTTGCAGACACTTCTATGGAAGTAGATGCCATTTGCTCACAGAAAGGGTCTGTTAAAAGAGGCAGTAAAGCAAGGCATTCTGCAAGGAAATACCAAGAGCATATTTCGGTTAGGAGACAGACCTTCCAGAGTCTTTTCCAGTGTCAGCTGTAGAAATAAAGACTGATGCAGAGAAAGGTGTGGCAGAATGGGGACAGCGTGCTGAGCCTACAGAGAGATCTCTTTGAAACTGCTCCATTGCTGTGACCAATTACTTATCTAAAGGAATACTGGGCAAATAGCTCCTGTATTGCTTATTCCCTCAAATTTATACCCCAAAGATATCAAGTGTAAATTATTTGTCCCTAAAATACTAAAGCCAGGATTGGCAGAGCCTTTGAAACCTCTGTATCACAAATTCAGGAACAAACAAAAAATGAACTAAACTCCAAAATAAAGTTCAAGGAGTCTTAAGTCCTCCTAAGACTGAAAGTGCTTCTGCTCCAGCTGTGATTATTAAAGTCTTTTCTTACTACAAATAAGAAAACAGCAAGCGCGCAATAGAAAGTCAATCACTCTAGAGGGTCTTGCAAATATGTTGGTCATTTGAAAGGATAAATAACCTCCAACAGCAACCGAGATTCAATGCAGAGGTAATCTCATTTGAAGCAGTCTCATCTCCAAAATGGTAATATATTGAGTTGCTTTGCTTGGAAATACAGCCAAGAAGCACTTGCTCAACATTTTATTCATATAGTACACATAGCCAAGCTTTTCACTAATCCCTCTGGAACTTTTTGTTTAGAGTGAATGCAAATGCAGGAGACCCTTGCTTCCAACAAGACAATCAAATAACATTTTCAAGAGAAACAAACGCTAACCTTTCTTTCTATTTGATTTCATCCTTTCTCTTCTTTTCTTTGAAATGATCCATTTGGTGAAAGTATGTTTTTATATATTGTATTTCCAGAATAAATCAAGTGATATAAATTATGTATGGGTTGAAATGTGTCCCCCAAGAAGTTGTGTTGAAATCCTAAGCTCCGTACCTGTGAATGTGACCTTATTTGGACACAGGTTCTTTGCTGATGTAATCTGGCTAAAATTAGGTCATATTTAATTAGGGCTGATCCTAATCTAATGTGATTGGTGTCCCTATAAGAAGAGAAAACAGATACACAGGGAAAGAAACACCATGTGAAGACCCAAACAGACACAGACAGAGAGAAGATGTGTAGATAGAGGCAGATATTGAAGTTGTGCTGCCACAAATCAAGGAACTCCTGGGGCTATTGGAAGCTGGAAGAGGCAGGAAAAAATCCTTCCCTGGAGGCTTCAGAGGGAGCATGGCCTTGACACACCTATATTTTGGAAATCTAACCTTTCGAACCGTGAGATGATAATTTACATGATTTTAAGCCATCCCGTTTGGTGTACTTTGTTATGGCAGTCCCAGTGAACTAATATAAATGGTTAGTTGCCTTTCAGAAAAAGAAGCCAGAAAATACCACAATATTTCCCACTCTGAATATAAATTACTGCTTTTCAGGACCTAAAATTTTCTCCTGGCCTTTGTCAGTGGGCACTACCTGATGAAAAGAAGGAATCTGACTAATCTCTGTTCAAATTCCAGCTCTTCTCCTTTTTGGCTGAATTATCTCAGGCTAGCAATTTAACCTCTATAACCTTGACTCCTCTCAGTAAAAATTGACATAATAATAGCTATGGCACAGTGTGGATTTGTTTGTTTGTTTTAGGATTAAAGGAGATAGCATACATAAAACACCTGATGTATTAAACTTTCCTTTAATCTAGGTCCTTTCCTTTTCTCCTTTTTCTTCCTGGGCACATACCTTCACCCAAACCAGCCATCAACTAATCCCTCCTGAGGTTCATCTGATAATAGCTCCACATTTTATATATCCCGGAGACATCTGTAATTTAACAGACAACACTTAAAGGCAAAAAAAGCCCTTGAGGCCAAAGCAATGAATTCTAATAGAAAACTTCAGGGTTTTTGATAGGCAGTGGGGTCGTTACTTTTTGAGCTGGAGAACTTTGCAGAAGGTATTCAGAACACACCTAAGAAGCCTCAGTCTTACTTGTATGACTATCCCTGCTACGTAATCATTTCTGTTAAGAAAGTTCATTATTTTGGGTGTCTAATCTATTGCTTTTTTAATGTATTCATTAATAATCAATTATTTATTCAATCTCTCATTCAATTTATTAAGTACACATTCCATATAACACATTAAGGAAGTTATAAAAGTCAACCTAGCAAAGCTACTGCTTGGTTCCACGGAGCTTGTATTCTAGTAGGGGAGAGGAGACATTCATGTAAATAAATGAATCGTGTAATTTAGGAAGTTCTGATACCCAAAATTGAGATTTTTTTTTTTTTGAGGAGATTTTCCTAAATCATCATTTAATCTCAATCTTTTCCTATCTCTCTTTACTTTTTTTCCTCTCTTTTCCTCTGCCCTCTCTCTCATCTTTTTCCCCTTTGCTTCTCTTTTTACAGTTCCTCCCTCCAGTTCTTCATTTGTTACATGTTTATGAGAGTAAGAGCTGATGTGCCTGTAATAAAGCCTTTTTTTTTTTTTTTTTTTTTTTTTTGAGATGCTGTCTCGCTGTGTTCCCCAGACTGGAGTACAGTGGCACAATCTTGGCTCACTGCAACCTCCACTTCCCGGTTCAAGCGATTCTCTTGCCTCAGCCTCCCTAGGAGCTGGGACTACAGGTGTATGCCACCACACCCAGCTAATTCTTTTTTGTGTTTTTAGTAGAGACGGGGTTTCACCATGTTAGCTAGGATGGTCTTGACCTCCTGACCTCGTGATCCACCTGCCTTGGCCTCCCAAAGTGCTGGGATTATAGGCATGAGCCACCGATTTTTATGTGTGTGTATAAATATGTGTGTGTATAAATATGTGTGCGTATAAATATGTGTGCTCCTCAGCTGGAAATATTTTGGGGGTGACTACAGAACAGTGATTTTTCTCTAACAACTACTGTGTTCTCTCCTGTTTTTTTTTTTGGAAGTAGTGTAGCTGTGGTATTGAGTCTAGCCAAAGACTTCTGAAACAATGGCCCAGAAAGAGGCTTATTTTCAGTTTCCAACAAGATCAATATCAAACATCCTGGGCTAGATGAATAATGATTTATAGAATTATATTTAAATTATGTACATTTAATTAATAAGCCCATTATATAGTTTTTCTTGCAGTATTTCCCAGTCTGATATTTATCTTTATGCCACATTTTTTAAACCAAAACTTTAAAATCCAGCATCTATTATTTAGCTGTGATAATCTGTAATTGAGACCTGCTTTCTGTCATGTGAGTCTAAAATGTTTATACTATTACCTCGTCTATGTTTACTCACTGAACATTATCCTTAGTATTTTTTCTACATTAAGAAACATTTATTTATTCATTCCACACTTACATCTCTTTTTAGGAAACATATGAAGAGTTTTCTTCCATTCTCTATTTCTTCTAGCTCATGAAGCATACTTTTGACAAATTGATCCTTTTTAAAGAGCTTTTTGTTTGTTTGTTTAGATGATTGCTGGATTTAGAACCAATAGGCCTGAGTTTATACTTTGCCCCTATTCTTAAATACTTGTTTGATCCTTCATCAGTTAAAAAAATAACAACTTATAATAAGTGATATTTATTGAGCATTTATGTACTAGATACAGTGATAAAACTCAAGAAGAATTAAATCACTAATTCCTAACGCAATGAGAAATATATTTTTTGATTTCTAATGTGGACTCTCACAGGCCTTGTAAGAAATAATAGCTTTGAAAGTCAATGGAATTGATTTTCATGAGGCAGGTAGTTCTGAAAAAAGAGAAGTCTATTGAAAAACAGAAAAGAAAGCCCATAAGAAATAAGATATAGAGTATATGCCTTCACAATAAGTGAAAAAAGAAAATAAACAATTATACCCTAAGTGACTGAAATGAGAATCAATTATTCTGGAAAGAGATAGGAGACTGAAATACCAATGGGCATGATCTTGGACACCTAGGACATGAGAGTAGATCTTGGGGTTTAAGGGGACTGCACAAATATATATATGCACACACACATACATACATATATACACACACACATACATACATATATATACACACATACATACATATATATACACACACATACACACACATGCATACATATATACACATATATACACATACATACACACATAAATACACACATATACACACATACATGAATATATATACACACATATACACATACAGATATATGCACATACAGATATACACACATACATATATACACACACATATACATGCATATATACACATATATACACAAACATACATATATACACACATGCATACACACATATACACACACATATAAACATATATACATACATATATACATAGTATATACACACATATATAATACATATAATAAAATACACATATATCTGGTTAGTGCAAAAGTAATTGTGGTTTTTGCCATTAAAAGCAACCTATAAGCCCTTGCTTCAAGATATCCCAGCTTTCCGGAGCAAACGGGCATATATTTTCCATGTATTGATTTATGTCTTTGCCTGTTACTTCTGCTTCCCTGAAAGGTATGAAACCAAACTGTAATCTAACCACCTCAGGTGCATTTCCTTAGGACTCTTGGAGACTTTGTCTTTTCTGGCTGTGGTGACTCATATTGGCTCAGAATAAATCCCTTTAAAATATCTGATTGTGTTTTGTTTTTCCATTAACATTGCCATGGTCAGAAATTTGCATGGTTGTTAATCAATGGTTATAATTTTAGCCACACATGTGCCGTACTAGCTTTTTAGCATGCAGCTGTCTTCATTCTGTAGCTGCCTGCAAGACATCCATGAGTTTTTCAGTACAAGTGACACCCATTCTTGCTCTAAGTCTCTGATGATTCCCTTCCAAACTGATCCATAGAAACATGCCCCATTTAACAGCACAGAACACTTATTAACACCTCCAAATAGTCTGGGTGCAGTGGCTCATGCCTATAATTCCAGCATTTTGGGAGGCTGAGGCATGAGGAATACTTGAGTCCAGGAGTTTAAGACCAGCCTGGGCAACACAGCAAACAGAGCAAGGCCCTGTCTCAAAAAAAAAAAAAAAAAAAGTTTTTTTAATTAGCAGGGTATAGTGGCACACACCTGTAGTCCTAGCTGCTCGGAAGGCTGAGGTGGGAAGATGAATTGATCCCAGGAGTTTGAGGCTGCAGTGAGCCATGATTGTGCCAGTGCACTCTAGCCTGAGTGACAGAGACCCCATCATTAAAAAATAAAAATAAAAAAATAAAAAATCTCCAAATATACCTGAAACAGCCAAGATGCCACAGAAGAGAAGACTTTAAAATCTGTAATTGAAACAGACTAAGCCTAAGTGAAAACTTACCACTGAAAACCAACCCTTGGTTTACATAGGGACATCACCTGGAACATGTTCACTTCTAGATGATCTGGGTATAGTTTCAGATGTCTTGTGAGTACAGTAGCATACCTAGAATAAAGAATAAATGGGTCAGGCGTGGTGGCTCATACCTGTAATCCCAGAATGTTGGGAGGCTGAGGTGGGTAGATCACGAGGTCAGGAGTTCAAGACCATCCTGGCCAAGATGGTGAAACCCTGTCTCTTCTAAAAATACAAAAATTAGCCGGGCATGGTGGCAGGCGCCTGTAATCCCAGCTACTCGGAAGGCTGAGGCAGAGAACTGCTTAAACAGGAGGCGGAGGTTGCAGTGAGCCAAGATTGTACCACTGTACCCCATCCTGGGTGACAGAGTGAGACTCTGTCTCAAAATAAAAAATAAAAAATAAATAAGTACATAAATTATAAATAAATCTCCCACACTCTTCATCTTTCAAGATGGGTACTATAGTGCCAAAAATGGTGCTTTGGAATAGAGATTATCCATCCAAAGCAGTTTAGTGATAAAGATAAGACTTAATGCTGAGTAACGTAATTTTCTTGATGGCCTCTAAATTCACTGAGGGTATATTAGAGAGGTTCTCCTATCCCGTTTTGAAGAGGGAATAATATCAATGGGGATTTTATTTTCCAAAGATGACTGCAACAATATATTTCCTCCTACATCTAACATGGTGTGCACAGTGTGATTTTGCAATGCTGTCTCAATCACCCCCTAGGGTTAATCTGGGATTTCTACCTACTGGTTATGGAGATGTCTGAACATACAACACGTAACACTGGACACATGAAATCAATAGCAATTTATTAGACACATGAACTCACAGCCTGGGGAAGGAGGATACCACATGCCATGCGCTGCCAAATGGGGGTTGCCCTTGGGAACAGAGTGAAAAATGAGGGGCTTTGAAAGGCAGTCTTTGTAGTACCAAGAAGATGATGTGATCTCAGTTCCTTCAGGAGGATGTGATTCGCTTGTTTAAATAATTCTGCAGGCTAGTGGGCAACTGAAACACTTTGCTCAGCAGAAACTGCCTAGTCTTCTTGATAAGGAGGGTTGTTTGGTTTGAAGACCTTATGCGTGGAAGCAGAGTACTGAGAGAAACTTGTAATTACTCTATTCAAGGATTTCTGAATTTCACCAGATACCAAGACATTTCAGAAAACAAAGGTTATTTATTTTTTTCTACACTATTTCTGACATCAGATGTATACTGCTTTTTTTCCAACACTGACCAATTCTCCGACACCAGGAGAGTGTCCTATAATTCAATTTAATTTTGATACTCTCTACCTAGAGTTATCATCAGATCCCACAAATTAAGGGCTCAGTCTCGCAAGACTCCTGTAATTTCAGATTCCAATTACAAGTTCACATCTTCGCTATGCTATTTCTGACCGACTGGCATTAAATTGGGGGTTCCAACAACCCTCCCTCAGGTTCGATAATTTACTACAATTGCTCATAGAACTCAGGGAAACACTTTATTCATGTCTACCAGTTTATTAGAAAGAATACAATAAAAAATACACATAAATAGCCAGATGAAGGGATACATAGGGCAAGGTCTGGAGGTGTCCTGAGCCCAGGAACCTCTCTGTTGAGTTAGGGTAGGAGTGACTCTCCTCTCTCCCCTTCACATGAATGTATTCACCAACCTGGAAGCTCATCAAGGCTCATTGTTTACACATTTCTTTATAGAGCTTAATCTTCAACTCCTCTCCCTACATTCTTCTCTAAAGTTATGTGGGTAGAACTTAATGTTCCAACGCTTTGATTTCTTGGTGTTTCTGGTGACCACCCCCATCCTGATGCTATCTGGGGACCCCATCTTAAGGCAATTCACTAGCATAAAATAAAGTGTCATTAAGTAGGCCACCATATGAATAACAAAAGACATTCCTATCATTCAGGAAATTCCTAGAGTTTCAAGAACTCTGTACCACAAACCAGCAACAAAGACCAAATATATTTATTATGCTACAGTTCCACATCAGCTTGGGACTTAATTTTAAGCCTTACCTCACACATGCATCCAAAATCAGGTGATGTGTAATTCCCTCTCCTTGTGACCAAAAGAATGTGGTAAAAGTGATGCCGTGTTGTTTCTAAGAAGACAGGTCATAATGCTTCTTAGAATGCAGCTTCTCTGGACTATCTCGTAACCCATCTGTGAAGCAGGGAGAAGTCCAAGCTTCCTCATGAAGAGGATCACATCAAGGTAGCCAATTGATAGTTTCTGGATTTTCTCCTTGTAAGAACCATCTACTCAAATGGAAGCAAAAGGGGAGGGAATGGGAGAAAAAAAACCATAAAACTAAGCATATAAACAAAGGAGACTCTTTTAGCTCAGAAGAGATGACATTATCTTTTAATTGACAACTTTAAATTCTTGACATTATCTGAGGAGAGAACTCTAATTAGAAGACAGCAGCAAGAGAACATAAGGAGATTTACTTTTATTGAACATCTGATTTATGCTGATGAAAATATACTTGCTGCACATACTCCCTCAGTCTCATTTATCTCCTAATATTCACCTCATCCTTTAATTTATTCATTTACTTAACAAAGAGTTAACACATGCTTATCTTGTGGCTGCAACATAGTAACCTGGAGATTGTCAGTGGGGCCTGGGACAAAGGGACCAGAGGTAGGAAACCCTTAAGGAGTTCACAGTTGACACTGCCAAAAAGACATGAGTACAATGTCTTGTCGTAAGTTCTCTTAGGTATATGGTATCAATGGAAAGAGTCAAACTCTGCAAAATATTTGAAGAGATTTAGGCTGGGCGTGGTGGCTGACACCTGTAATCTCAGCATTTTAGGAGGCCGAGGCGGAAGGATCACGAGGTCAAGAGATCGAGACCATCCTGGCCAACATACTGAAACCCTGTCTCTACTAAAAATACAAAAATTAGCTGGGTTTGGTGGCACAGATCTGTAGTCCCAGCTACTCGGGAGGCTGAGGCAGGAGGATCACTTGAACCCGGGAGGTGGAGCTTGCAGTGAGCTGAGATTGCACCACTGCCTGGGCGACAGAACGAGACTCAGTCTCCATAAAAAGAAAAAAGAAGAGATTTATTATGAGCCAAATATGAGTGACCAGCCTTAAAAGATTCCTAGAATACATGCCCAAGGTGGTCAGACTACAGCTTGGTTTTATAAATTTTAGGGAGACATAAGACATCAATCAATACATGTAAAATGTAAAATGTACACCAGTTCAGTCTGGAAAGGAAGGACAACTCTAAGTGAGGGGTGTTTCCAGTTCACGGAGAGATTCAAAGATTTTGACTGGTAATTGGTTGAAAGAGGTAAGTTATTGTCTAAAGATGTAGAATCAATAGAGGGGAATGTTTGGGTTAAGATAAGGAGTTGCAGAGACCAAGATTCCCATTATGCAGAGGAAGCCTCCAGGTAGCAGGCTTCAGAGAAAATAGATTGTCAATGTTTCGTATCAGAGTTGACTCTCCTGGATCAGGGAAAAGAAAGCAATGAACTAATGGGGATTCTCTATAGAATGTAGATTTTTCTCACAAGAGACAGCTTTGCCAGGCCATTTCAATATATGTCAGAAAAATATAATTTGGGGTAAAATACTTCAATTTCTTTCAGGGCCTGCTATCTGGCATTTGATGCTATGCTAGAGTCAGGCTAGAATTTGGTGTTTTATTGCTTCAAAGAGTCTACTTTATCAGTCTTCACATCTATTTCAGTGTTAATGCTGGTCATCTGTGCCTGAATTCCAAAAGACAGGAGAGTATAATGAGGCATGTCCGACTCCCCTTTTCCATCATGGCCTTGTTACTGGTGATAGGTATCTGAGTTACCCCAAGTTACCAGTGGTGAATCTGCATGGGTCCACAGCAACTTCTTGCCTCCTCAGAAGAAAGACTTTGACGGAGGGGCATAAAGCAGAAAATGAGACCGAGGCAAGTTTCAGAGCAGGAGTGGAAGTTTATTTAAAAAGGATTTAAGGCCGGGCACAGTGGCTCACGCCTGTAATCCCAGCACTTTGGGAGGCCGAGGCGGATGGATCACCTGAGGTCTGGAGTTTGAGACCAGCCTGACCAACATGGAGAAACCCCATCTCTATTGAAAACACAAAATTAGCCGGGCATGGTGGCACATACTTGTAATCCCAGCTACTCAGGAGGCTGAGGCAGGAAAATTGCTTGAACCCGGGAGGCGGAGGTTGTGGTGAGCCGAGATTGCGCCATTGCACTCTAGCCTGGGCAACAAAAGCCAAACTCCATCTCAAAAAAAAAAAAAAAAAAAAAAAAAAGGCTTTAGAACAGGAAAGAAAGGAAAGCTTACTTGGAAGACATCCAAGAGGGCGCCTGAAGGACAAAGAGAACGTTTAACCTTGATCCCAGAGCTTTATAGGTTTGCCTAGTTCCCATGATTCTACCCCTAGGGTGGGTTTCCTGCATGCCCAGTGCCCTTCTTACCCTTGGGAACTGATCACTGCACACTGTATTTAGAAAGTTGCACTCATGCCCATCCGAGGCTTTCTTCTCTTTTTCCAGCGGACTGTACCAGGAAGGTCATATCTCACCATTTTGTCTCTTAGTGCGCATGCCCAGGAAGCTTTTTCTCCCTGGCATCTGCTTTCAATTAACACTTTAATGTTAATAGCTGTGGATCATCAGGAAATGGCCTCTGCCTGGCCCTGGGTGGGCTGCCAAATTTTCATTTTTAGAGAGGCAGTCTGATAATTGTCAAACCATCACCTGACATTTCTAGCAGGTGGAGAAAGAGCCCTCTCCTGCCCCACTCATCCCTATCTAACTACCTGTAACAGCCTGAACTAGTTTTCAGGTTGTGAAAGGAAAACACATCTTGGGACCCCCAAATCACTAAGCCAAAGGGTAAAGTCAAGCTGGGAACTGCAACAGGCAAACCTGCCTTTCATTTTATTCCTAAATAAAAGAGCTACAAAGATTTTTTTTAAAGCCACATGCTTCCCTCAAAATTTGCCCACAAGGAAATTCCTTATGGACAAAGGACAGACAGACCTCAAAGTCATCCCTCTTCCCACCTGAGACAGATATCTGATTGCTTCTTTTGCCCTATTGTTATACTAAACCAGACCAAGGCATAAATGACTATTCCTTTACCTTTCACTCAAATGTAAATTGTGTATTTAGTTAAAGGCTAACCAGAGACTCAAAAATAAAAAATGCAAGTTTGTCTCTTATCTACCTATGGCTTGAAAGCCCCCTCCCGAATTTGAACTTGTCCTGCCCTCTCAAACCAAACCAAGGTATATCATTCACATATTGATTGATGTCTCATGTCTCCCTAAAATGTATAAAATCAAGCTGCACCCCAACCACCTTTGGCATCAGGACGTCCTGAGACTGTGTCTCTGGTGCATCCTTAAACTTGGCAAGATAAACCTTATAAATTGATTGAGTTTCAGATACTTTTAGGTTCACACGGTTAACTTTGGAATGCCGTTGGTTGAAAGCAGGGGTCTATTCAGACGACTGTTGGGGGGAGAGCTTAGAAACTTAAAAGTATAATAAATAAAATAAAATAAATAAAATAATAAAAAAATAAAAATAAATAAAAATAAAGTTTAACTATTGAATACCCCCCCCCCAAAAAAAAAAGAAATGTTATTTTTGATTTACAGTAGCACAGTGGTAGAACCAGAGAGAGGTCCTGAAGTCAGTATTGGAGAGCAAGAAAAGGGAAACATAAGCATTAAAGCAGTTTATTTTTTTCTTCCCAATACTGCCATTAATAAACTAGAAAGCACTACATAAATGTAAAGTGAAATAGCATTATTAAGGGATCATTCCCCTATTCCTTCATGAATCACCACTACCTACGTACTGTCAACTGAAGAATGATGAGGTTCATAAATTTGGAAAAAAGAGCTTTATTTTTCTTTCTTTCTTTATTTTTTCGAGACGAAGTCTCACTCTGTCACCCAGGCTGCAGTGCAGTGGCACGATCTCGGCTCACTACAACCTCCACCTCCCAGGTTTAAGCGATTCTCCTGCCTCACCCTCCTGAGTAGCTGGGATTACAGGTACACACCACCACCCCTGGTTAGTTTTTGTATTTTTAGTAGTAACGGGGTTTCACCATATTGGTCAGGCTGGTCTCGAACTCCTGACCTTGTGATCCACCCGACTCGGCCTCCCAAAGTGCTGGGATTACAGGTGTGAACCACCCACCACACTTGGCAGAGGGCTTTATTTTTCATAAAGGATTTCAGCCTGCATATTGGCCATTCTGACAAGCCTTATCCCCCTGTGATAGTTAATACTGAGTGTCAACTTGATTAGATTGAAGTATGCAAGGTATTATTCCTGTATGTTTCTGTAAGGGTGTTACCAAAAAAGATTAACATTTGAGTCAGGTGTTGTTAGAGAGGCAGACCCACCTTCAATCTGGATGAGCACCATCTAATCAGCTATCAGCACGGCCAGACTAAAAGCAGGCATAAGAAGGTAAAAGTAAGGTAGAAGACTGGCTAAGTCTTCTGACCTCCATCTTTCTCTCATGCTGGATGCTTCCTGCCTTCAAACAAAGGACTCCAAATTCTTCAGTCTTTGGACTTTTGGACTTACACCAGTGGTTTGCTAGGGGCTCTTGGGCCTTCAGCCACAGATTGAAGGCTGCATTGTCAGCATCCCTACTTTTGAGGTTTTGGGACTCTGTCCTCCTTGCTCCTCAGCTTGCGAAAGGTCTATTGTGGGACTTCACCTTGTGATGGTGTGAGTCAATTCCCTGTAATAAACTCCCTTTCATATACACATCTATCCTATTAGTCCTGTTCCTCTAGAGAACCCTGACAAATACAGCCCCCTCACTGGACTCCTGTACAAAATCTGTGGTAGCACCAGCATTATCTGAGGATAAAGGTTTGGGCCCTCGGACATCAAAAGGTGAAACAGAGGACAGGAAAACCCTTACTGTGCATTCTCCAAAGACTGGCCAGGAACAGTGGGTAGTCCCTGGTCTCTTATCAACCATAAAATAGGGGAAGCATCAGGCTGTTGGTTAATATCAGATGAAGTCTTTTGAAAGGGCTGGTTTCTGGTAAGCCCTTAGGGAAGAAAGCCTAGTGGTAATGAGTGAGAAGGGTATAGGGAACTCCTGTTTAGTCATGGCTGAAAACTCAGCTTTCAAGGTTACTCTATGGTCCCCTTGGCCAAGAGATTGTCTTTTCAGTCAGTTGGGGGGCTTAGAATTTTCTTTTTGGCTTACAGTGTTAAAGTCTAAACTTTCCAGATTGCCTTTACTTTACCTCTTTACCTGTTCATCTCTCATTATGCCTGAAGCAGAACTGACTTTTATACAGTCAGAAAAAAAGTACCGTGTCAACCTTTCAATCTATCAAGCTCAACGTCACCATTCCACTCTATCAAGATGTGTTTCCTCACCCTCATATTCAAGAAACAAATTCTGCATTTGAAAGAGCACATAGTTAGGGAAAAAGAGGTTGGTATTTTTTAGAGTTTGCTTTGCCATGCATTTGCTATACTCACCCTGTCTAGTTCAGCACACGCTTACCTCAAAATGGACTTTTTGTACAAGGCGGTTCTTATGGTTCTTTCTGCTTTATAATGCTACGAACTTATGAGATATTTTTAGTGAAAATATGCAATATAATTGGAAGAAGAGAAAGCACCTACATATTTCAGTTGTCAGGCTCTGTCTATAGAAACATTTTTTAAATTTCTCTGAATATAATTTTTATTTCTTTTAATTTAGGGTTTCTAATATCAATCATAATATTTACATAAATCTTGGTTGCCAATAATAATAGAAACCTGCTTAACATAGGGAGAAAGGTAATTTATTGGAGGCATCACAGACAGTTTATTAAGTGAAGAACTGTCAGTAATAAAGGAAAGCTCCCCAGTTGTCAGGGTACTGCAATGATGGTCACACCACCATGGGAAGAAGATTGTCAGTACTGGGAGCTACCACCAGCCAAGACGCCACAGCCACCATGGATGCTGACGCATCTTTGCTGCTATTACTGAATGCTACTCATGTTTCCTTATACTACTGGCTCCACTTCAAAGTGGCAGTAAGAAATAGCCAATTTGCCAAGCCTAGCTCATGCGCCTACAGCGTTACTACAGAGCATGAGGAAAGAAAATATTTGAACTTGCGTATTTTTTAGTGGTAGGCTATGTTGTTATAAAGTCTCTCATATGGAGAGCACGCAAAATATGTCAACTTTGCACTATAATGTTAAAAGAATACACAATTCCAGAAGTCATCTGTGATATGTCATGCCAGGCACATAGTAGGTACACAGTTTTTGGCTTCTATATTTAGGAATGGAGCTCCATGGGCTGGTTACCCCATAACTGGGGTGTTAAAGTACCTGAGTTCACCAAGGATGCTAAAAAGATCGAAAGCATGCAGTGTCTCTTGATTCATAAGAAGCAAAGAAAGCCAACTGCCTGCACTCAGCAAGGACCAGAGAGAGTTGTGGCTCACTATCTGCAAAAGCTGCAGTTTTTGATATTCCAATCCCCAGTGGGGAATCTGCCAGGTAATCCCCTTCTCTCCAAAGCCTCTCAGCAGAATCCATGTCAGAGACACTGAGCAGCTGTGGGTCTGAGCTCGCTGGGAAGTGAGGTGAAAGCTCTGCTTAATTGTTCTTGGTAATTGCCACCTCTAGGGAGCTGGCCTAAAGAAGTTGTTCATTTCCTCCTCTGTTAATACTCTATTTACATCCTTATACAATGCTTAATGTAAAAGAGATTTCACTCTTCTGGTTGATAGTGATAACTATTGTTGCCCCTCTAAAGTAGAATCTACAATTTTTTTTAGTATATTTGTGAAACACTTTGATATACATTATCACCTTTCCACCTCATCACATCAGTTGAGAAAAAGAATGCTTGACTGGAAGAAGTAATTAGCACAAGGCTAATCAAAGTGGCAGATCAAGAATTGAAACACAAGAGTGTGTGGCCCTATAGTTCCAGTCATTTTCATTACTGCACCTCTTTCTAAACCTGCCACAGTGCAGAGCATGTGGCAGTGATGCAGTAGTGTCTCTAGACACACAGAGTAAAAGAGGAATTCAGAGATAGGGCATTTCTTGAATAGATGAGTAAAGGTAGGAGAGAGAAGTCCCTGGAGATTACTGTATATAACTTTTTCATAAAGTTATCTAAGTACAGGGACCATGATATGGTTTGGTTCCATGTCCCCATGCAAATCTCATCTTGAATGGCACTCCCATAATTCCCATATGTTGTGGGAAGGACCCTGTGGGAGATAATTGAATGATGGGGCCGGTATCCCTCATCCCATTCTCATGGTAATGAATAAGTCTCATGAGATCTGATGGTTTTATTTTTTTTAATTTTATTTATTTGTTTATTTATTATACTTTAAGTTCTAGGGTACATGTGCACAACGTGCAGGTTTGATACATAGCTATACATATGCCATGTTGGTTTGCTGCACCCATCAATTCATCATTTACATTAGGTATTTCTCCTGATGCTATCCCTCTCCCAGCCCCCCACTCCCTGACAGACCTCGGTGTGTGATGTTCCCTGCCCGGTGTCCAAATGTTCTCATTGTTCAGCTCCCACCTATGAGTGAGAACATGCAGGGTTTGGTTTTCTGTCTTTATGATTGTTTGCTAAGAATGATGGTTTCCAGCTTCATCCATGTCCCTGCGAAGGACATGAACTCATCCTTTTTTATGGCTGCATAGTATTCCGTGGTGTATATGTGCCACATTTTCTTAATCCAGTCTATCATTGATGGACATTTGGGTTGGGTCCAAGTCTTTGCTATTGTGAATAGTGCCGCAATAAACATACATGAGCATGTGTCTTTAAAGTAGCATGATTTATAATCCTTTGGGTATATACCCAGTAATGGGATGGCTGGGTCAAATGGTATTTCTAGTTCTAGATCCTTGAAAAATCACCACACTGTCTCTACAATGGTTGAACTAATTTACACTCCCACTAACAGTGTAAAAGTGTTCCTATTTCTCCACATGTTCTTTAGCATCTGTTGTTTCCTGACTTTTTAATGATCACCATTCTAACTGGCATGAGATGGTATCTCATTGTGGTTTTGATTTGCCTCTGATGACCAGTGATGATGAGCATTTTTTCATGTGTCTCTTGGCTGTATAAATGTCTTCTTTTGAGAAGTGTCTGTTCATATCCTTTGCCCACTTTTTGATGGGGTGTTTGATTTCTTCTTGTAAATTTGAGTTCTTTGTAGATTCTGGATATTAGCCCTTTGTCAGATGGGTAGGTTGCAAAAATTTTCTCCCATTCTGTAGGTTGCCTGTTAACTCTGATGGTAGTTTCTTTTGCTGTGCAGAAGCTCTTTAGTTTAATTAGATCCCATTTGTCTATTTTGGCTTTTGTTGCCATTGCTTTTGGTGTTTTAGTCATGAAGTCCTTGCCCATGACTATATCATGAATGGTATTGCTTAGGTTTTCTTCTAGGGTTTTTATGGTTTTAGATCTAACATTTAAGTCTTTAATCCATCTTGAATTAATTTTTGTATAAGATGTAAGGAAGGGATCCAGTTTCAGCTTTCTACATATGGCTAGCCAGTTTTCCCAGCACCATTTATTAAATAGGGAATCCTTTACCCATTTCTTGTTTTTGACAGGTTTGTCAAAGATCAGATGGTTGTAGATGTGTGGTGTTATTTCTGAGGCCTGTGTTCTGTTCCATTGGTATATCTATATCTATATCTATATCTCTATATCTATATATAGCTATATAGATATATAGATATAGATATCTGTTTTGGTACCAGTACCCTGCTGTTTTGGGTACCATAGCCTTGTAGTATAGTTTGAAGTCTGGTAGCATGCTGCCTCCAGCTTTGTTCTTTTTGCTTAGGATTGTCTTGGCAATGTGAGTTCTTTTTTGGTTCCATATGAACTTTAAACTAGTTTTTTTTCCAATTCTGTGAAGAAAGTCATTTGTATCTTGATAGGGATGGCATTGAATCTATAAATTACCTTGTGCATTATGGCCATTTTCACCATATTGACTCTTCCTATCCATGAGCATGGAATGTTCTCACATTTGTTTGTGTCCTCATTTAATTCATTGAGCAGCAGTTTGTAGTTCTTGAAGAGGTCCTTCACATCCATTGTAAGTTGGATTCCTAGGTATTTTATTCACTTTGTAGCAATCGTGAATGGGAGGTCACTTATGATTTGGCTCTCTGTATGTCTGTTATTGATGTATAGAAATGCTTGTGATTTTTGCACATTGATTTTGTATCCTGAGACTTTGCTGAAGTTGCTTATCAGCTTAAGGAGATTTTGGGCCGAGACGATGGGGTTTTTTAAATATACAGTCATGTCATCTGCAAACAGGAACAATTTGATCTCCTCTTTTCCTAACTGAATACCCTTTATTTCTTTCTCTTGCCTGATTGCCCTGGCCAGAACTTCCAACACTATGTTGAATAGGAGTCACAGTGAGAGAGGGCATCCTTGTCGTGTGCCAGTTTTCAAAGGAAATGCTTCCAGTTTTTGCCCATTCAGTATGATATTGGCTGTGGGTTTGTCAAAAATAGCTCTTATTATTTTGAGATACGTTTCATGAATACCTGGTTTATTGAGAGTTTTTAGTGTGAAGGGATGTTAAATTTTGTCGAAGGCCTTTTCTGCATCTATTGAGATAATCAAGTGGTTTTTGTCATTGGTTCTGTTTATGTGATGGATTACATTTATTGATTTGCATATGTTGAACCAGCCTTGCATCCTAGGGATGAAGCCGACCTGATCTTGGTGGATAAGCTTTTTGATGTGCTGCTGGATACAGTTTTCCAGTATTTTATTGAGGATTTTCACATCCATGTTCATCAGGAATATTGGTTTAAAATTCTCTTTTTTTGTTGTGTCTCTGCCAGGCTTTGGTATCAGGATAATCCTGGCCTCATAAAATGAGTTACGGAGGATTCCTTCTTTTTCTATTGGTTACAATAGTTTCAGAAGGAATGGTACCAGTTCCTCTTTGTACCTGTGGTAGAATTTGGCTGCGAATCATCTGGTCCTGGTCTTTTTTTGGTTGGTAGATTATTACTTATTGCCTCAATTTCAGAGCCTGTTATTGTTCTATTCAGAGATTCAACTTCTTCCTGGTTTAGTCTTGGGAGGGTGTATGTGTCTAGTAATTTATCCATTTCTTCTAGATTTTCTAGTTTATTTGTATAGAGGTGTTTATAGCATTCTCTGATGGTAGTTCGTATTTCTGTGGGATCAGTGGCGATATCCCCTTTATCATTTTTTATTGTGTCTATTTGATTCTTCTCTCTTTTCTTCTTTATTTGTCTTGCTAGAAGTCTATCAATTTTGTTGATCATCTCAAAAAACAAGCTCCTGGATTCATTAATTTTTTGAAGGGTTTTTTGTGTCTCTAACTCCTTCAGTTCTGCTCTGATCTTTGTTATTTCTTACTTTCTGCTAGCTTTTGAATGTATTTGCTCTTGCTTCATCTAGTTCTTTTAATTGTGATGTTAAGGTGTCAATTTTAGATCTTTCCTGCTTTCTCTTGTGGGCATTTAGTACTATAAATTTCCCTCTACACACTGCTTTAAATGTGTCCCAGAGATTCTGGTACATCATGTCTTTGTTCTCATTGCTTTCAAAGAACATCTTTATTTCTGCCTTCATTTCGTTATTTACCCAGTAGTCATTCAGGAGCAGGTTGTTTAGTTTCCATGTTGTTGTGTGGTTTTGAGTGAGTTTCTTAATCCTGAGTTCTAATTTGATTGTACTGTGGTCTGAGAGACAGTTTATTGTGATTTCTGTTGTTTTACATTTGCTGAGGAGTGCTTTACTTCTAATTATGTGGTCAATTTTAGAATAAGTGTGATGTGGTGCTGAGAAGAATGTATATTCTATTGATTTGGGGTGGAGAGTTCTGTAGATGTCTATTAGGTCTGCTTGGTGCAGAGCTGAGTTCAAGTCCTGGATATCCTTGTTAACCTTCTGTCTCATTGATCTGTCTAATGTTGACAGTGGGGTGTTAAGTCTCCCATTATTACTGTGTGGGAGTCTAAGTCACTTTGTAGGTCTCTGAGGACTTGCTTTATCAATCTGGGTGCTCCTGTTTTGGGTGCATATATATTTAGGATAGTTAGCTCTTCTTGTTGAATTGATCCCTTTACCATTATGTAATGACCTTCTTTGTCTCTTTTGATCTTTGTTGGTTTAAAGTCTGTTTTATCAGAGACTAGGATTGCAACCCCTGCTTTTTTTTTTTTTTCCATTTGCTTGGTAGATCTTCCTCCATCCCTTTATTTTGAGCCTATGTTTGTCTCTGCACATGAGATGGGTCTCCTGTATACAGCACACTGATGGATCTTGACTCCTTATCCAATTTGCTAGTCTACATCTTTTAATTGGGGTCATTTAGCCCATTGACATTTAAGTTTAATACTGTTATGTGTGAATTTGATCCTGTCATTATGATGTTAGCTGGTTATTTTGCCCGTTAATTAATGCAGTTTCTTCATAAGATCAATGGTCTTTACAATTTGGCATGTTTTTGCAGTGGCTGGTACCAGTTGTTTCTTTCCATGTTTAGTGCTTCCTTCAGGAGCTCTTGTAAGGCAGGCCTGGTGGTGACAAAGTCTCTCGGCATTTGCTTGTCTGTAAAGAATTTTCTTTCTCCTTCACTTATGAAGCTTAGTTTGGCTGGATGTGAAATTCTGGGTTGAAAATTATTTTTTTAAGAATGGTGAATATTGGCCCCTACTGTCTTCTGGCCTGTAGAGTTTCTGTGGAGAGATCCACTGTTAGTCTGATGGGCTTCCCCTTGTGGGTAACCCGACCTTTCTCTCTGGCTGCTCTTAATATTTTTTCCTTCATTTCAACCTTGTTGAAGCTGATAATTATGTGTCTTGAAGTTGCTCTTCTCAAGGAGTATCTTTGTGGTGTTCTTTGTATTTCCTAATTTGAGTGTTGGCCTACCTTGCTAGGTTGGGGAAGTTCTCCTGGATAATATCCTGAAGTGTGTTTTCCAACTTTGTTCCATTCTCCCAATCACTTTCAGGTACACCTATCAAACATAGATTTGGTCTTTTCACATAGTCCCATATTTCTTGGAGGCTTTGTTTGTTTCTTTTTACTCTTTTTTCTCTAACCTTGTCTTCTCACTTTATTTCATTAATTTGATCTTCAATCACTGCTACCCTTTCTTATACTTGATCAAATCAGCTATTGAAGCTTGTGCATGTATCATGTACTTCCCATGCCATGGTTTTCACATCCATCAGGTCATTTAAGGTCTTCTCTACACTGTTTATTCTAGTTAGCCATTTGTCTAACCTTTTTCAAAGTTTTTAGCTTCCTTTTGATGGCTTAAAACATGCTCCTTTAGCTCGGAAAAGTCTGTTATTACCTACCTTCTGAAGCCTACTTCCGTCAACTCATCAAAGTCATTCTCCATCCAGCTTTGTTCCATTGTGGGCAAGGGGCTGCAATCCTTTGGAGGAGAAGAGAGCTCTGGTGTTTAGAATTTTCAGCTTTTCTGCTCTGGTTTCTCCCCATCTCTGTGGTTTTATCTACCTTTGGTCTTTGATGTTGGTGACCTACAGATGGAGTTTTGTTGTAGATGTCCTTTTTGTTGAGGTCCACTGCAGACCCTGTTTTCCTGGGTATCACCAGTGGAGGCTGCAGAACAACAAATATTGCTGCGTGATCCTTCTGTGTCCAGAATTGGTGGGTTCTTGGTCTCACTGACTTCAAGAATGAAGCCGCGGACTCTCGCGGTGAGTGTTACAGTTCTTAAAGGTGGCATGTCCAGAGTTTGTTCCTTCTGATGTTTGGATGTGTTTGGAGTTTCTTCTTTATGGTGGGTTTGTGGTCTTGCTGGCTCAGGAGTGAAGCTGCAAACCTTTGCGGTGAGTGTTATAGCTCTTAAGGTGTTGCGTCTGGGGTCATTCATTCCTCCCAGTGGGTTTGTGGTCTCGCTGGCTTCAGGAGTGAAGCTGCAAACCTTCGCAGTCACTGTTACAGCTCATAAAGGCAGTGTGGACCCAAAGAGTGAGCAGTAGTAAGATTTATTGCAAAGAGCGAAAGAACAAAGCTTCCACAGTGTGGAAGGGGACCTGAGCAAGTTGCCACTGCTGGCTCAGGCAGCCTGCTTTTATTCTCTTATCTGTCCCCACCCACATCCTGCTGATTGGTCCATTTTACAGAGAGCCGATTGGTCTGTTTTACAGAGAGCTGATTGGTCCATTTTGACAGGGCGCTGATTGGTGCATTTACAATCCTGAGCTAGACACAAAAGTTCTCCATGTCCCCACTAGATTAGCTAGATACAGAGTGTCAATTGGTGTATTTACAAACCCTGAGCTAGACACAGAATGCTGATCGGTGCATTTACAAACCTTAAGCTAGATACAGAGTGCTGATTGGTGCATTCACAGTCCCTTAACTAGACATAAAGATTCTCCAAGTCCCCACCAGATTAGCTAGATACAGAGTGCTGATTGGTGCATCCACAAACCCTGAGCTAGACACAGGGTGCTGATTAGTGTGTTCACAAACCTTGAGCTAGACACAGAGTGCTGATTGGTGCACACACAATCCCTTAGCTAGGCACAAAGGTTCTCCATGTCCCCACTAGACTCAGGAGCCCAGCTGGACTCACCCATTGGATCTTGCACCAGGGCTGCAGGTGGAGCTGCCTGCCAGTCCCGCGCAGTGTGCCCACATTCCTCAGCCCTTGGGCGGTCGATGGGACTGGGTGCCATGGAGCAGAGGATGGTGCTCATTGGGGAGGCTCAGGCTGCACAGGAGCCCATAGCTTTGGGGATGGGGAGACTCAGGCATGGGGAGCTGCAGGTCCCGAGCCCTGCCCCACAGGGAGGCAGCTAAGGCCCAGCGAGAAATCAAGTGCAGTGCCCTGCTGGGGGACCTGGCGCACCCTCTGCAGCTGCTGGCCTGGGTGCTAAGCCCCTCACTGCCTGGGGCCAGCAGGGCCAGCTGGCCACTCCAAGTGTGGGGCCCGCCAAGCCCACACCCACCCGGAACTCTAGCTGGCCAGCAAGTGCAGTACACAGCCCTGGTTCCCACCCATGCCTCTCCCTCCACACCTCCCTGCAAGCCGAGGGAGCTGGCTCTGACCTTGGCCAGCCCAGAGAAGGGCTCCCACAGTGCAGCAGCAGGCTGAAGGGCTCCTCAAGCACGGCCAGAGTGGACACTGAGGCCGAGGAGGCACCGAGAGTGAGCGAGGGCTGCAAGGGCTGCCAGCACACTGTCACCTCTCACTTCCTCCAGAAGCTTTGTCCCTAAGGGGCACCCACCTATATGAAGTGTCTGTTGGCCACTACTGGGAGGTACCTCCCAGTTAGGCTACATGGGGGTCAGGGACCCACTTGAGGAGGCAGTCTGTCTGTTCTCAGAGCTCAAACGCCATGCTGGGAGAATCACTGCTCTCTCTAGAGCTGTCAGACAGGGCCGTTTAAGTCTGCAGAAGTTTTCTGCTGCCTTTTGTTCAGCTATGCCCTGCCCACAGAGGTGGAGTCTATCGAGGCAGTAAGCCTTGCTAAGCTGCAGTGGGCTCTGCCAGTTTGAGCTTCGTGGCAGCTTTATTTATGTACTCGAGCCTCAGCAATGGTGGGCACCCCTCCCCAAGCTGGGCTGCCACCTCACAGTTCCATCTCAGACTGCTGCGCTAGCAGTGAGCAAGGCTCCATGGGCATGGGACCTGCCAAGCCAGGCACAGGAGAGAATCTCCTTGTCTGCCAGTTCCTAAGACCTTGGGAAAAGCACAGTATTTGAGTGGAAGTGTCCCGCTTTTCCAGGTACGGCCTGTCATGGCTTCCCTTGGCTAAGAAAGAAAAATCCCCCGACCCCTTGCACTTCCTGGGTTAGGCAATGCCCTGCCATGCTTCTGCTCACCCTCCGTGGGCTGTACCCACTGCCCAACCAGTCCCAGTGAGATGAACCACATACCTCAGTTGGAAATGCAGAAATCACCTGTCTTCTGCGACGATCACACTGGGAGCTGCAGACCAGAGCTGTTCCTGTTTGGCCATCTTGGAACATACCTCCTGATGGTTTTATTAAGGGGGTTTCCACTTTCACTGCTGCTTCATTCCCTCTTGCTGCTGCCATGTAAGAAGATCCTTTCTCTTCCACCATGATTGTGAGGCCTCCCTAGCCACACGAAACTGTAAGTCCATTAAATCTATTTTTTTTCCCAGTTTTGGGTATGTCTATCAGCAGCATAAAAATGGACTAAAAAAGGCCATCTTTAAAAACATTAGTAATACTCTGAGATTAATATAGTGTGCACAACACAATGTGCATGATTTTTGCTGTAGAGTTTCATTCTGTTTTTGCTCGTGTTGCTTTTCATTACTTTTTTTACATAATTTTTTATATTATTTTCAAATGACTTCTAATAATTGTACATATATATGGAATAGAGTGATATTTCTATACATGTGTACACTAATGATCAAATTAGGGTAATTAGCATATCTATCATTTAAATATTTATCACTTCTTTGTGTTGTGAACACTCAAAATCCTCTTTTAACTTTTTGCAAATATACACTAGGCCGGCTGCGGTGGCTCACACCTGTAATCCCAGCACTTTGGGAGGCCGAGGTGGGTAGATCACGAGGTCAGGAGTTCGAGACCAGCCTGGCCAACATGGAGAAACCCCATCACTACTAAAAATACAAAAATTAGCTGGGCATGATGATGAGCACCTGTAATCCCAGCTACTTGGAAGGTTGAGGCAGGAGAACCACTTGAAACCGGAAGGTGGAGGTTGCAGTGAGCTGAGATTTTGCCACCACACTCCAGCCTGGGCAACAAGAGTGAAACTGTCTCAAAAAAAGAAAATATACACTAAATTATTATTGAATATAATCATCGTACAGCACTACAAGACACTAAGATTTATTCCTCCCACTGAGCTGTAACTTTGTATCTATTAAAAAGCATCTTTCTATGTTTTTTTCCCCCTGAATTTACCAGCCTCGAATAACCACAATTCTTCATTCTACTTCTGTAAGTTCACCTTTTTTTTTTTCTCAGCTCCCACATAGGAGTGAGAACATGTGGTATTTATCTTACTGAGCCAGATGTACTTCACTTAACATAATGTCCTCCAGGCTCATTATGTTGCTGTAAATGACAGAATTTCATTGTTTTTTTTTTTAAATGGCTGAATACTATTCCATTGTGCATATTGTGAACCCTGAAAATCTGAGTCAGGTCTCGGTTAATTTAGAAAGTATTTTGCCAAGATTGAGGACCTGCACCTGTGACACAGCCTCAGGAGGTCCTGATGACATGTGCCCAATGTGGTAGGGGCACAGCTTGGTTTTAAACATTTTAGGAAGACATAAGACATCAATCAATATGTGTAAGATGTACATTGGTTCAGTTGGAAAGGTGAGACAACTCAAGATGAAGGCGGGATGCCTCTAAGTTGGAAGGGGCTTTCCAGGTCATAGGGAGACATACGGTTTCATTCTTTTGAGTTTCTGATTAGCCTCTCCAAATGAGGCAATCAGATATGCATTTATCTCAGTAAGGAGAAGGGTAACTTTGAACAGGAGACATGTTTGCCTTAAGCAATTCCCAGCTTGACTACTCTCTTTAGCTTAGTGATTTCGGGGCCCCAAGATTTATTTTCCTTTCATGATACATACCACATTTTCTTCGTCTGTTCATCTGTTGATTAATATTTAGGTTGATTCTTAATCTTGGCTATTGTGTATAGTGCTGTGATAAACGTGGCGGTGCAGGTATCCCTTTAATATAGTGATTTCCTTTCTTTGAATGAATACCCAGTGGCAGGATCGCTGGATACTATGGTAGTTTTATTTTTAGTGTTCTGTGAGACCTCCACACTGTTTTCCAAAGTAGCTGCACTAATTTACATTCCCAACTACAGTGTATAAAAGTTTCCTTTCCTTCACATCCTCACCAGTGCTTGCTTTTTTTTTTTTTTTGTATTTTTGATGACAGCCCTTCTAACTGGAGTAAGATGACATGTCACTATGGTTTTGATTTGCATTTTTCTGATGATTACAGATGTTGAACATTTTTTGATAGACATATTGGCCATTTATGTCTCCCTTTGAGAAATCCTATGTCCATTTTCAGTCAAATTATTTGTTTTTTTGCTGATGAGTTATTTGAGTTCCTCATATATTCTGGATATTAGTCACTTATTGGATAAATAGTATGCAAATATTTTCTCCCATTTTACAGGTTGTTTCTCCACTTTGTTGGTTGTTTCTTTTGCTGTGCAGAAGCTTTTTCATTTACTATTAATCCCACTTGTCTATTTTTGTTTTTGTTGTCTAAGCTTTTGAAGTCTTACCTATAAAATTTTTCCTAGACCAATGTCCTGAAGTGTTTCGCCTATGTTTTATTCTAGTAGTTTTATAGTTTGGGGTCTCACATTTAAGTCATTAATCCCCTTTGATTTGATTTTTTCTAAATGGCAAATGATAGGGGTCTAGCTGTATTTTTGTGCATATGAATATCCAGTTTTCAGAGCACCATTTATTGAAGATGGTGTCCTTTCTTTAATATATGCTCTTTTGCTGAAAACCAGTTGGCTATAAATATGTAGATTTATTTCTGGATATTCTGTTCTGTTCCATTTATCTATGTGTCTGTGTTTATAGCAATGCCATGCTGTTTTTTGTCTACAGTTTTGTAGAATATTTTGAAGTCAGGCAATGTGAAGCATCCGATAAGGAGATCTATATGCATAGAATCTGGAATCTGAGACCTAACTTGGCTTCTTGGATCTGCCACTTCTCTGATTTCTCAAGAACTTGAAGCTTCAAGTGTCTCCTGTAAAACCCATATTTTGTGTTCACGTGGTTAGTACTTATCATAACAGGTACCAATTCTATGGTGCCTCATGCTCTCTGAATTTCAAGTATTTCATTACTAATTCCCTTTTTAACTGCAAAACACAAGGAAGACTAACTTGCATTCCAGACAGTATGGGGTGGCTAATTTCTTTCTGATTTTGACCCTAAGTTCTATCAACACCAAAGCATCGTAGGTGCCTTAGAAAGAAGGAAGAAAGATCTTGAGGAATTCACTTTTCCCTACATTGTCTGAATAAGAGTCAAACCGCAAGATTGTCAGTATTCATTGCTTTTTGCATAAGACTGAGAAGTTGCCCTCATGTTTATTTGATTTTAACTTCCAAAGCTAAGTGGTGCTTCTGTAAGGATATAAGAATGGGGTCATGGAGAATTCCAGGATAAAGCAAACTCTACTAAAGAATGGTTGGGTTTTATGCATTTCAAGGGCCTTAATTTTGCTAGACTGAATATCATTTTCAAGTCTTTTACTTCAAAGACTGTGAGGCCCTTCTATTAGTTGAAATTCTGGAAAATTACTTCATGAAAATTTAGAGTACTTTGATAAGCTGATATAGCCTGTTTCCTAGAATCTCACAAAAGTCAAGACCTCAGTTATGCATTTATTTCCTTTATTCTGGTTCTTAAACTCAAGCTACTCATTGCCTAAGGTCAATGGAAAAGTTAGTAAATATAGGAAAAGGACAATAATAGAGATGAATACATCTTGATATGACAAGAAGAATTAACAAAGCTCATGTTTTGATGATTTCAAGCTACTGACTTGGAGTTCAGCCTGTTTTTGCTATAATCTAGTTCAGGGAACAGTGATCTATCATTTCACATTCTTTTTAAACTAGGAAACTTCACACTTTACAGTAGAGAGTGAGTGGGACCTTGAAGGGTGAGTATTATGTCTATTTGTTAGTAAGAAATGAGGGAGTTTTCTAGTCAAAAGAAACAGCTTAGGGGTATAAAAATATACATGATGAACCATCACCAAATAATTGGGAATAGGGCCACTAGCATCAAATGATATAAAATGCACACAGCTATATTCATAACTCAACTCACAAATGATTTGCCTTAGTTATAATGTGTGTCATATCTAAACCTAAAACATAATAAAATACACGGTACACTTACTTAACCTTTCATTAGTGCACTTGTATTTTTTTTTACCTAGTCTATTGATCAAAAAATTTGACATATCTGTGGTGTTATGGTTGGGTGATTAATTATGACCCTGAGGAACTGACAGTCTAATAATCACACTTGTGCTGTGCCATTTGCAGCATGAGTGCTGCAGAATCCTAGGTAGGAAAGTAGTGACATACCAAGGGCTATTATGTGCAATAACGAAAGGCAGTAGGGTCGTAGGCCAGCCTTATCTGCATTACTTTGGATCTTGTTAGATTTCAAATTCTTGGATCTGACTCAAGACCTACTAAATCAGAAACTCTAGAAGTGGGACCCAGCAGTCTGTTTTAACAAGTTCTCCACATAATTTCAATATATGTTTATGTTTGAAAAATTTTATTCTGGTGATAGGGAATACAGACTTCCTCAATTCAGATAATAGCTATGCTATTAACACCTGAGTGACATTAGGCATCTATATAATGATATAATCTATATAACGAGGATAACATTAATATCTGCCTTAGAGGCTTATTATGGGAATCAAGTGAATCAGCATTTCCTGGTCCCTACTAAGTATCATATTAACACTAGTTCTTGCCTCTAGGGGAAGAAATGGCATGATCCTTTAGTTCTGCCACGGCCTCTCTTTTAGATATCTTGAAAGTCTTGCTTTTGTACTGTTTGGCTATTTTCAGTTATACAATGAAAACAACAAATTGTCACCACTTTCCTTTAACATTTGAAATAGATTCTCCAATAAGGAGTTGCTTTTTCTGTCCTTAATTGAAAGAAAAATATCCCTTACTTTCTGATACTGAAAAATATACTCATTAAATCTGATCTACTCTTACCACAAGCCTCAAGACGCATCTTTCCAGAGTGAATTACAAGAGCCACAGGCAGCAACTATTGCTTTCCAAGCAGCTCAATAATCCATCATTCCACCTTTCCTTATTCCACTGCAACTCACCTGGATGCACAGAAATTTCCTCCCAAATTTATTGAAACATTAAAAATTCAGGCTCCAAGCTAAAATCCTTGTCTTCATTTTGTTTAATATTTTGAAGAGTCTAACTCTTTGGTATTGATTATCTGAGCAGGCAATCAAAATGCTTAATCAATAACAGTCACTCATGTGTGACCTGTAGTTCTTCCAGAGCACTAGGTAGTTAAACCCTTTTGACCTTCTCTTTTAATTAATTCTAACCTTTATTAAGAAGAACCTTTCTAGCCTGCAAGCTGCAAAATTGCAACTTTCAAGAAGGAAGTTTACCCTCTTTTTGTCTTCCTGAAATCAGAGTGAAGCCAAAGGCACAGGAAGCACAGCTGGAATGGGGACATAGGAACGCGGGGGCTCCCATGAGTTGACCGGACAACTGAGAGATGGCAACCTAGACCTGGGGGTAAGTCACTGTCTAATGTGCTCTACCTCTGCTACTTGGCTCAGGGCAGATTACAGGAATGACTAGTTGGTATTGCTTCTGACTTCATTGCTTTTACCCAGAAGCAAATGTCACTGAAACAGGAAAAAATAATTTGGGTTCCCATAAGGAGCACCTGTAATTCTACATAGTGTGCACAATTAGAAGTCAAGAAAACTTACTGCCAATAATGAGAATGTATAATTTTTGCCAAGTTGCTTCTTCCACATGAACCTCAGTTTCTTCATCACTCCAATGAAAGGCTCTTTTAGGACAGTCTCTTGGGCCCTCCTTTATTTCTGATTTTCTGTAGTTACTTCATCTCTGGGAATCAATTCTCTCACAGCAGAAGTAAATAACAGGGCAAGGTTTGCATAGATCTGGGTACTCTGGAAAAATGCCAATTTCATTCCCTTATGAATTTTTTCTCAGCACATTACAGATGTTGCACACAGATGACCATATTGACTGCTCTAGTCAATAAAGATATATTCAGGTTTAAAGGGCTGAAAATTCATCATTACCTATGTTAAATTATTTCATTTGGAGTATTTTCATATAAGTTAGAAGATCAAAATAAAAAATAGCATGGAAGGCATAGCATGTAACTCTATGTACCACCTAAAATAGATAATAGTATTTTGTGAAATTTGCTTTGTCTATTTTTTAAGCAAAAAAGCGTATACATTACAAATGAAGTTGAATTTACTTTCCAGTTCCATCTCAGCAAACTGCATCCCCATCCCCAAGCAACTATGTTCATAAATTCAATGTGTGTTATTCTAGCCCATTTAAAAATATTTTAGATACATGAATATAGCAATGGGTTGATTGAAAGATGAATAGATTGATGAATGCATAAAGATTCCTGATAGGTAAATAAATAGACAAATCCATTTATATAGATTTGTATATAGTATTATCTTTAAATTTACATATATATGATAGGTAAATAGACAAACCTATTTATGTAGATTTGTGTCTAGTATTATCTTTAAATTCACATATACATTATATTATGTCTCATTCTTTAAATTACCTATTTTTCTCAACATTTATGTTTTTGAGTCCACCTATGACTCAAAAGAAGTCTAGTTCATTCCTTTTAATTGATATGAAGTATTGAATTATACAAATATATCACATTTTATTTTTCCATTCTCCCAGTACTTAGCCACTTGGCCATTTTTAGTATATCACTATTAACACAAAGCTGCCCCAAATATCCTGAGACAGAAATATTGTATGTGTTAGAAAATTTCTACACTATGTAATCAAGTACAATTGCCATTCATAGAGTTTACAAATTACCAGTTTAATTAAGTTTTGTGATTATGTGGGAGGCTTAGGCAGGAGAATAGCTTGAACCCAAGAAGAGGTTGCAGTGAGCTGAGATGCCAATCCAGCCTGGGCGAAAGACCGAGACTCTATCTCAAAACAAAAATGAAAACAAAAAATACATTCTACTGTCAACTTTTGTTTTTGCTTAGCTAATGGATATAAAATAATGGGTCATTTTGTATATTTCATTTATGTTTGTCTTATGTTTATAATTCCTAGACTAGTGAAGTTGAACAATTTTTCATATGTTTAATGAATGCTATATTTTGAGTGTGTCTGTGTTAGTTTGTTCTCACATTGCTATAAATAAATACCTGAGACTGGGTAATTTATAAATAAAAGAGATTTAATTGGCTCATAGTTCTGCAGTCTATACAAGAAGCATGATGCTGGCATCCACTTGGCTTCTGGGGAGGCCTCAGGAAACTTACAGTCATGATGGAGGATGAAAGGGCAGCAGGCACATCACACGGCCAGAGCAGGAGCAAGAGAGAGAAAGGTAGGGGTTGCTACACATTTTTAAATGAGCAGGTCTCACAATAACACATTATCATTAGGAGAGTACCAAGAGGGATGCTGCTAAACCATTCATGAGAAATCTGCCCCCAGAATCCAATCATTTCTCACCAGGCCCCACTTCCAACACTGGGGATTACATTTCAATATGAGATTTGGGTGGAGACACACATTCAAACTATATCAGTGCCCCTGAAATTTCATGTTAAAATTTAATCCCCAGTTCAATAGTATTAAGAATTTGGTACTCTAGGAGGTGATTAGATCATGAGAGCTTCCACCTTCATAAATAGATCAGTGCTCCTTCTAATAGGGTTCCAGGGAACTAGCTTGCCCTTTTTTGCCCCTCCATCCCTCTCACCATGTGTGGAAACTGCAAGAAGTTTTCCTCACCAGACACCAATTCTTCTGGTGCTGTGATATTGGCCTTCCAAGACTCCAGGAATTTGAGAAAATTAATTTCTGTTCTTTATACATTACCCAGCCTCAGGTATTTTGTTGTAGCAGTACAATCAAACTAAAATAACATTTCAGCATTCTTCTCTATGAATAGTCTTTTCATAACCCTTGCATTTTTTATTCAAGTGATTTTATTTAATAATTATATATATATATGACTATTTACTTGTTACGAGGTATTCATATTCAAAAAGTTAATCCCTGTTAAATTATTTTAGAAAGAGCTACTGTTTTGTTCTCTATTAGTCCATTTTCACATTGCTATAAACTACCTGAGACTGGGTAATTTATGAAAAAAACAGGGTTTGATGACTCACAGTTCTGCAGGCTTAAAAGGAAGCCTCAGGAAACTTACAATCATGACAGAAGGTGAAGGGGAAGCAAGAATCTTCTCATGATGGCAGGAGAGAGAGAGAGTGAAGGGAAAGGTACCACACACTTTTAACACTTTTAAATAACCAGATCTCATGAGAACTCTATAACAAGACAGGACTAGGGGGATGGTGCTAAACCATTAGAAACAAACTCCATGATCTGCTTACCTCCCACCAGGCTCCACCTCCAACACTAGGTATTACAACTCAACATGAAACTTGGGTGAGGACAGAGACCCAAACTATATTATTCCACCCCTGACCCCTCCCAAGTCTCATGTCCTTCTCACATTTCAAAATCAATCATGCCTTCCCAACAGTCTCCTAAAGTCTTAACTCATTCCAGCATTAACATAAAAGTCCAAGTCCAAAGTCTCATCTGAGACAAGATAAATCCCTTCTGCCTATGAGCCTGTAAAATAAAAAATAAGTTAGTTGGTTCCAAGATATCATGAGGGTACAGGCATTGGGTAAATGCTCCAATTCCAAATGGGAGAAATTGGCCAAAACAAAGGGGATAGAGGCCCCACAGAAATCCAAAATCCAGCAGGGAAGTTATTATATTTTAAAGCTGCAAAATACTCTCCTTTGACTCCATCTCTCAAATCCAGGATGTACTGATGCAAAAGATGGGCTTCCAAGCATTGAGGAGCTCCACTCCTTTGGCTCTGCAGGTTACAGCCCCCATAGCTGCTTTCACTGGCTAGCATTGAGTACTTGCAGATTTTCAAGGTGCATGATGCAAGCTGTCAGTGGACCTACCATTCTGTGGTCTGGAGGATGTTGGCCCTCTTCTCACAGCTTCACTAGGCAGTGCCCCAAGAGGGACTCTGTGTGGGAGCTCCAACTCCACATTTTCCCTCTATGCTGTCCTAGTAGGGATTCTCCATGAGAGCTCTGCCTCTGCAGCAGACTTCTCCGGGATCATCCAGGCATTTCCATACATCTTCTGAAATCTTGGTGGAGGCTCCCAAGCCTCAACTTTTGCCCTCTGTGCACCTGCAGGCTTAACAACATGTGGAAGCCATCAAGGCTTCTTATGGCTTGCACCCTCTGGAGCAGAAGCCTGAGACATTTCTGGGGCCCTTTTAGCCACAGCTGAAGCTGGAATAGCTGGGATGCAGGGCATCATGTCCCCAGGCTGCACATAGCAGCGGGGCCCTGGACCTGGTCCACGAAATCATTTTTCCCTCCTATGCCTCCAGGCCTGTGATTGGAGAGGCTGTCATGCAGGTCTCTGAAATGTTCCGGAGGTATTTTTTTCCATTGTCTTGGCTATTAACATTTGACTGCTTTTTACTTTTGCAAATTTCTGCAGTCAGCTTGAATTCTCTAAAAGAAAATGGGTTTCTCTTTCCTCCCACATGGCCAGGCTGCAAATTTTCTAAACTCTTATCCTCTGTGTCACTTTTAAATATAACTTCTAGTTTCTGATTATCTTTTTACTTATAAATATGAGCATTCACTCTTAGAAGCAGTCAGGCCACATCTTTAACACTTTGCTCCTTATACATTTCTTCTGCCAGATACCCTAAATTATCTCTCTCAAGTTCAAAGTTTCACAGATTTCTAGAGCAGGAGCACAATGCTGCCAGTCTCTTTGCTAAAGCATAGAAAGAATGACCTTTACTCTAGTTCCCAATAAGTTTCTCATCTCTATTTGAGACCTCCTCAACCTGGACATTACTGTTCATATCACTATTAGCATTTTGGTCACAACCATTCAACAAGTTTCCAGGAAGTTCCAAACTTTCCCTCATTTTCCTGTCTTCTTCTGATTCCTCCAAACTGTTCCAACCTCTGCTCATTACCCAGTTCCAAAGTTGCTTCCACATTTTCAGGTATCTTTGTAGCAATGCCCCACTTCTCTAGTACAAATTTTTTGTACTAGAGAAGTTACATTCTCACAATGTTATAAATACATACCTGAGACTGGGTAATTTATAGAGGACAGGGGATTAATTGACTCACAGTTTTGAGGGCTGTACAAGCATCTACTTTTGAGGAGGTCTCAGGAAACTTACAATGATGGTGGAAGGGGAAGGAGAAGCAGCCATGCTTTCTACATGGCTGACAAGAGAGAGGGAAGGGGAATGTGCCACACACTTTACAGCAATCAGATCTTGTCAGAAATCTATCACAAGACAGCACTAGAGGGATCATGCTAAACTATTAGAAACTGACCACATGATCCAATCACCTCCCACCAGGCCCCTCCTCCAACACTGGGATTACAATTCAACATGAGATTTGAGTGGGGACACAGAGCCAAACCATATCAAATATAAAGGGTTTGGTACTATCTGTGCACAGTTTCAGACATCCACTGGAGGTCTTGGGAAGTATTTTCTCACAAAGGAGTAGGCTTTTGTACATATTTTTCTCAAACGCATTTGGGAAATTTCCCAGGATAGACCATATGTTAATCCAAAAGTCAAATCACAATAGATTAAATAAGACAGAAATTATATAAAATATTGTTTTCAACCATAGCAGGATGAAGTTAAAAAATCAATAACAAAAGTAAAGTGGAAAATGTACAAATTTACAGAGATTAAACAACACACTCTTAGACATCCAATGGATCAATAAGAAATCAAAAGAGAAAGTGGAATATACTTGAGATGAAAGAAAATGAAAACATAACGTACAAAAGCATATCACACATAAAAAAGCAGTGCTAGTGGGGAATTTTTAGCTATAAATGCTTATATTATGAAAAAGAAAGACCTTGATTTTACTTAACCTAATTTTTACAACTTAAGAAACTAGAAAAAGAAGAGCATACTAAATCCATGCTTGCAGTAGAAAGGATATCATATGTATTAGAGCAGACATAAATGAAATAGAGGCTAGAAAACAATAAAGAAAATCAAGAAAATCAAAAGATTTTTTAAAAAGTCAAAATTTACAAATATTTAGCTAGATGAACTAAGAAGAGAGAAGATTCAAATTACTAAAATCAGAAATGAAAGTGGAAGCATTACTAGTCTACTAATTCTAAGACAAAATAACATTGATTATTAGAGTACTATAAACAATTCTGTGTCCCCAAAATGGATAACCTAGATGAAATTTAAAAAATTCTAGATTTATAAAACCTACCATCAGTAAATTATGAAGAGATAGAAAATCTAAATAAATCTATAACCAGTAAGGAAATTAAATCAGTAATCAAAAATCTCCACACATACAAAATTACCCCGAACCTAATGGCTTCACTAGTGAATTCTACCAAACATTTAAATAAGGACTAATGCTAATCCTCAATCTTTTTCAGAATATTAGAAGGTAAAACTTTCAAAGTCATTTTATGAGACCAGAATTACTTTGATAACCAAAGTCAGTCAAAGGCAGTATAAGAAAATAAAACTACAGACTTTACATTTTATGAACATTAATGCAAAAATCTTCAACAAATACTATCAAACTAAATTCAACAACATGTTATGAGGATTATAGATCATATTATCAGAAATATACATTCTGGAGTGCAAGGATGGTTCAACATATAAAAATTAATCTATGTAATCACCACATTAACAGAACAAAGGGGAGAAAATCACATCATGACTTCAGTTGGTGCAGATAAAACATTTGTTGAAATGCAACACTGTTTTATAGTCTCTGATAAAACAGACTTTAAACCAACAAAGGTCAAAAGAAACAAAGAAGGCCATTATATAATGGTAAAGAGATCAGTTCAACAAGAAGAGCTAACTATCCTAAATATATATACACCCAATGCAGGAGCACCCAGATACATAAAGCAAGTCCTTAGAGACCTACAAAGAGATTTAGACTCCCACACAATAATAATGGGAGACTTTAACACCCCACTGTCAACATTAGACAGATCAATGAGACAGAAAGTTAACAAGGATATCCAGGAATAGAACTCAGTTCTACACCAGGCGGACCTAATAGACATCTACAGAACTCTCCACCCCAAATCAACAGAATATACATTCTTCTCAGCACCACACCGCACTTATTCCAAAATTGACCACATAGGTGGAAGTACAGCACTCCTCAGCAAATGCAAAAGAGCAGAAATTATAACAAACTGTCTCTCAGACCACAGTGAAATCAAACTAGAACTTAGGATTAAGAAACTCACTCAAAACCACTCCACTACAGGGAAACTGAACGACCTACTCCTGAATGACTACTGGGTACATAACAAAATGAAGGCAGAAATAAAGATGTTCTTTGAAACCAGTGAGAACAAAGACACAACATATCAGAATCTCTGGGACACATTCAAAGCAGTGTGTAGAGGGAAATTTATAGCACTAAATGCCCACAAGAGAAAGCAGGAAAGATCTAAAATTGACACCGTAACATCACAATCAAAAGAACTAGAGAAGCAAGAGCAAACACATTCAAAAGCTAGCAGAAGGCAAGAAATAACTAAGATCAGAGCAGAACTGAAGGAAATAGAGACACAAAAAACCCTTCAAAAAGTCAATGAATCCAGGAGCTGGTTTTTGGAAAAGATCAACAAAATTGATAGACCTCTAGCAAGACTAATAAAGAAGAAAAGAGAGAAGAATCAAGTAGATGCAATAAAAAATGATAAAGGGGATATCACCACCGATCCCACAGAAATACAAACTACCATGAGAGAATACTATAAACACCTCTATGCAAATAAACTAGAAAATCTAGAAGAAATGGATAAATTCCTTGACACATACACTCTCCCAAGACTAAACCAGGAAGAATTTGAATCCCTGCATAGACCAATAACAGGCTCTGAAATTGAGGCAATAATTAATAGCTTACCAACCAAAAAAAGTCCAGGACCAGATGATTCACAGCTGAATTCTACCAGAGGTACAAGGAGGAGCTGGTACCATTCCTTCTGAAACTATTCCAATCAATAGAAAAAAGAGGGAATCCTCCCTAACTCATTTTATGAGGCCAGGATCATCCTGATACCAAAGCCTGGCAGAGACAGAACAAAAAAAGATAATTTTAGACCAATATCCCTGATGAACATCGATGCCAAAATCCTCAATAAAATACTGGCAAACCTAATCCAATGGCACATCAAAAAGCTTATCCACCATGATCAAGTGGGCTTCTTCCCTGGGATGCAAGGCTGGTTCAACATGCACAAATCAATAAATGTAAACCAGCTAATAAACAGAACCAACAACAAAAACCACATGATTATCTCAATAGATGCAGAAAAGGCCTTTGACAAAATTCAACAATGCTTCATGCTAAAAACTCTCAATAAATTAGGTATTGATGGGATGTATTTCAAAATAATAAGAGCTATCTATGACAAACCCACAGCCAATATCATACTGAATGGCAAAAACTGGAAGCATTCCCTTTGAAAACTGGCACAAGACAGGGATGCCCTCTCTCACCACTCCTATTCAACATAGTGTTGGAAGTTCTGGCCAGGGCAATTAGGCAGGAGAAGGAAATAAAGGGTATTCAATTAGGAAAAGAGGAAGTCAAATTGTCCCTGTTTGCAGATGACATGATTGTATATCTAGAAAAGCCCATCGTCTCAGCCCAAAATCTCCTGAAGCTGATAAGCAACTTCAGCAAAGTCTCAGGATACAAAATCAATGTGCAAAAATCACAGGCATTCTTATACACCAATAACAGACAGAGTCAAATTATGAGTGAACTCCCATTCACAATTGCTTCAAAGAGAATGAAATACCTAGGAATCCAACTTACAAGGGATGTGAAGGACCTCTTCAAGGAGAACTACAAACCACTGCTCAATGAAATAAAGGAGGATACAAGCAAATAGAAGAACATTCCATGCTCATGGGTAGGAAGAATCAATATCGTGAAAATGGCCACACTGCTCAAGGTAATTTATAGATTCAATGCCATCCCCATCAAGCTACCAATGACTTTATTCACAGAATTGGAAAAAACTACTTTAAAGTTCATATGGAACCAAAAAAGAGCCCACATTTCCAAGTCAATCCTAAGCCAAAAGAACAAAGCTGGAGGCATCAGGCTACCTGACTTCAAACTATACTACAAGGCTACAGTAACGGAAAGAGCATGGTACTGGTACCAAAACAGAGATATAGACCAATGGAACAGAACAGAATCCTCAGAAATAATGCCACATATCTACAACCATCTCATCTTTTACAAACCTGACAAAAACAAGCAATGGGGAAACGTTTCCCTATTTAATAAATGGTGCTGGGAAAACTGGCTAGCCATGTAGAAAGCTGAAAATGGATCCCTTCCTTACACCTTATACAAAAATTAATTCAAGATGCATTAAAGACTTACATGTTAGACCTAAAACCATAAAAACCCTAGAAGAAAACCTAGGCAATACCATTCAGAACAGAGGCATGGGCAAGGACTTCATGTCTAAAACACCAAAAGCAATGGCAACAAAAGCCAAAATTGACAAATGGGATCTAATTAAACTAAAGAGCTTCTGCACAGGAAAAGAAACTACCATCAGCATGAATAGGCAACCTACAAAATGGGAGAAAATTTTTGCAATCTACTCATCTGATAAAGGGCTAATATCCAGAATCTACAAGGAACTCAAAGAAATTTACAAGAAAAAAACAAACAACTCCATCAACAAGTGGGCAAAGGATATGAACAGACACCTCTCAAAAGAAGACATTTATGCAGCCAAAAGACACAAGAAAAAATGCTCATCATCACTGGTCATCAGAGAAATACAAATCAAAACCACAATGGGATACCATCTCACATCAGTTAGAATGGTGATCATTAAAAAGTCAGGAAACAACAGGTGCTAGAGAGGATGTGGAGAAATAGGAATACTTTTACACTGTTGGTGGGACCGTAAACTAATTCAACCATTGTGGAAGTCAGTGTGGCGATTCCTCAGGGATTTAGAACCAGAAATACCATTTGACCCAGCCATCCCATTTCTGGCTATATATCCAAAGGATTATAAATCATGCTGCTATAAAGACACATGCACACATATGTTTATTGTGGCACTATTCACAATAGCAAAAACTTGGAACCAAGCCAAATGTCCAACAATGATAGACTGGATTAAGAAAATGTGGCACATATACACCATGGAATACTATGCAGCCATAAAAAAGGATTAGTTCATGTCCTTTGTAGGGATGTGGATGAAGCTGGAAACCATCATTCTCAGCAAACTATCACAAGGACCAAAAACCAAACACCTCATGTTCTCACTCATAGGTGGGAATTGAACAATGAGAACACATGGACACAGGGTGGGGAACATCACACACCGGGGCCTGTTGTGGGGTGGGGGGAGGGGGAGGGATAGCATTAGGAGATATACCTAATGTTAAATGACGAGTTAATGGGTGCAGCACACCAATATGGCACATGTATACATATGTAACTAACCTGCACGTTGTGCACATGTACCCTAAAACTTAAAGTACAATAATAATAAAAAAGAAAGAAACCAAGACACATCCAATAAAAAAAATAAAAAATAAAAAATAAAATAAAAGCACTCAACAAACTGGAAATACACGCAAACTACATTATCTTAATAAAAACCATATATAAAAAAGCCCACAGCAAACATTTTACTTGATGGATAAAGACCTTTTTTCTAAAATCAGAAACAAGGCCAGGATTCCCACTTTCGCCATTTATAATCCACATTGTTCTGGAAGTTCTAACCAAAGCAATTAGGAAAAAAAATTGAAATGTAAGTAACTATTTAAGCAGCATCCAAATTGAGAAGGAAGAAAGAAAATGATGTCTGTTTGTAGATTATATAATTTTATATGTAGAGAATCCTTAAAATTCTACAAAAATTTTACAACTATTAAAGAAAATAATTTGGCAAAGTATTATAATACACTATATAGAATGAACAATCTGAAAAGAAATTGTGAAAAAATCTCATTTACCATATCATAATAAGTATAAAATACTTATATCCTTTTATATTAAATGTCCAAGAAAGACAAATCAATAGAGATAGAAAGTAGATTAAGGGTGCCTAAGGCTGGGAGATGGGTTGAATTGAAATACGAATGACTGCTAAAGGATACGGAGTTTTTTTTTTTTTTTTGAGAGACAGAAATGTTATAAAAGTGCATCATGGTGGCCAATGTAAAACCCTGCAATTATAGTAAAAACTTGAATTATATATATCAAGTAAGTGAATTGCATTGCCTGTTTGTTATATCTCAGTATAGCTGTTTTTTTAAAAAAGAATAAGATATTTAGGAATTAAGGTGATAAAAGCCTTATAAGTTCAAACTATAAAAAATGCTAAAAAAATTTAAAAAGCCATAAGTAAATGAAAATGTATCCTGCATTTATGAATTGGAAGACAATATTATAAAGGTGTCAACAAGACACACAGTAATTTACAGATTTACTGCAAGCTGTATCAATTCCAATGACCTTTTTTTTTCTTTTTTTACAAAAATAGAAAAGGCCATCTAAAATTTATATGGAATCTCAAGGAACGCTGAATAGCAACAACAATATTGAATGAAAATAAACCTGGAGGACTCAAAATTCCTTATTTCAAAACTCACTACAAATATACAGTAATTAAAATACTGTGCTACTGGCATAAAGACAGACATATAGAGCAATGGAATAGAATAAAAACCCAGAAATAAACCACCACTCATATGAACAAATGATTTTTAACAAGAATGCCAAGACCATTTAATGAGAAAATAACAGTTTTTCAACAAATGATGCTGGGAAAGCTGGATGTTCGCATGCAAAACAAAACAAACAAAAAAATGAAGTTGAATCCTTACCTAACACCATATGCAAAACAAAATGAATCAAAGTTCAAAACATAAGACATAAGCCTATAAAACTCTTAGAAGAAAATCTAGGTCAAAGTCTTTCCAACACTGGATTTGGCAGTAATGTCTTGTATGTGACATCAAAAGCACAAGCAACAAGAAAAAAAATGTAGAGAAATGTGGACTTCATAAAAATTGAAAAACGTGCACCAAAAAAACACTATCAACAAAGTGAAAAGGTAACCCATAAATTGGACAAAAATTGCAAATCGTGTATCTGGTAAGTTACGGAAATCAAGAATATATAGAGATCTTCTAAAACCCAATAACAAAATCCAATTCAAATATGAGCAAAATATTTGAATGGACATTTCTCTAAAGATATGCAGATGATCCATAAGAAAATTGAAAGATGTTCAACCTCATGATCATTATATAAATACAAATCAAAACGACAATAAAATATCAACACACCCATTAGAATAGTTATTATCAAAAATTAAAAAAACAGAAAATGAGTGTTGGCAAGGATGTTGTAAAAAACTTTGAAAACTTGTGCACTGGAAATAAAAATAATACAGCTGCTATGGAAAACAGTATGCTGCCTAAAAAAATAAAAATAAAATTGCCACACAATCCAGCAATTCCATTTTTGTGTATATACCGAAAAGTATTACCAACAGGCTCTCAAAGAGATATTTGCACACCCACATTCATAGCACCAATATTCATTACAGCTAAAATGTAAAGCAACCCAAGTATCCATTCGTAGAATGGATAAGGCAAATGTGGTATATACATACAACAAGAAATTATTCAGCCTTAAGAAGGAAGGAAATTCCGACACATTCTATAACTATGATGAATCTTGGAAACATTATTGGTAAGTGAAATAAATCAGGAACAAAAAGACCAATCCTGCATGATTGCATTTATATAAAGTAGAATAGTCAACGTCACAGAGATAAAGTAGAATATTGGTTACCAGGAGCTGTTGGGACAGGGAAATTGGAAGTTACAGTTTAATGGACACAGTTTTAGTTTTGCAAGAAGAAAGGGTTATGGAGATTGATGTTAGTGATTGCTGAACAATGTCATGTATATTTAAAACCACTGAACTCTGTACTTGAAAATGGTGAAGATGGTAAATTTTATGTTGTGTGTATTTTATCAGTATAAAAGTAATACATTTTTTAAAATTTATTTTTTTAGTATAATTCTAAATTTTGGAAAGCATACATTCAGGGGGCTCTTACTTTAAATTGTAATCATTTATTTTCGGTTCTAGAAATGAACGGAATTGAGACCTATTTTTTTCTATATAAATATTATGAAAAATAGAAAACAATCATTAAGACATTATTTAGCAAGATTTCACATGCAAAACTATTTGTTGGAGGCAGTTCTCTGAATGTAAAGAGAATAGCAATGGAAGCAGAGTTGAAAAAAGATATAAACTATTTTTGTTTTTGTTTGTTTGTTTGTTTTGAGATGGAGTGTTGCTCTTGTTGCCCAGGCTGGAGTGTAATGGCATGATCTCGGCTCACCACAAACTCCGCCTCCCAGATTCAAGCAATTCTCCTGCCTCAGCCTCCCGAGTAGCTGGAATTACAGGCATGCACCATCATGCCCAGCTAATTTTGTATTTTTGTTAGAGACAGGGTTTCTCAATGTAGAGGCGGGTTTTGAACTCCTGACCTCAGGTGATCCTCCCACCTCGGCCTCCCAAAGTGCTGGGATTACAGGTGTGAGCCACCGTGCCTGGCCAATATAAACTATTTTTAATCACATTATTTGACTCACTGCCTCAAGCCTCTTTACAGTTCTTATTGCAATCAGATTGATAAAACTCTATATTTCCTTATTTTATATAACAAATTTGATTTGCATTTTCTATTATTGACATGAAAAAGAATCCTAACTATGATAAACAATATGTATGTTTTGCCTTATTCTGATATCTGAATATGCGGGCTCGGTGGCTCATGCCTGTAATCCCAGCACTTTGAGAGGCTGAGGCATGTGGATCACCTGAGGTCAGGAGTTCAAGACCAGCCTGACCAAGATGGAGACACCCCGTTTCTACTAAAAGTACAAAATTAGCCGCGTGTGGTGGTGCATGCCTGTAATCCCAGCTACTTGGGAGGCTGAGACAAGAGAATTGCTCGAACCCGGGAGGTGGAGGTCGCAGTGAGCTGAGATTGCACCATTGCACTCCAGCCTGGGCAACAAGAGTGAAACTGTCTCAAAAAAAAGAAAAGAATAAAAAAGAAAGAGAATAGTTTCACAAGTTGCCTAAACTATAACCATTAGAATTGTTTTTCATTCCAGCTTTTCGTAGTCACCAAATCCTACAGCATCTGCCTCTTCAATGTCTATTTTCTTAATCTCCAGAGTTTCAACCAACCACCACCTTCCTTATTTCGGTTTTCATCATGTGATCGTGATTCATTTTAGTTTTTAAATATTTTTAATTATTTATCACATATATAATTTTTAATTTTTAATTTCGATGGGTTTTTGAGGAACAGGTGGTGCTTGGTTACATGAATAAGTTCTTTAGTGGTGATTTCTGAGATTTTGGTGAACCCATCACCCAAGCAGTGTATGCTGCACCCAATGTGTAGTCTTTTATCCCTCACCTCCCTTAGAGTCCCCAAAGTCCATTGTATCATTCTTATGCCTTTGCATCCTCATAGCGTAGCTCTCAATTATGACTGAGAACATACAATGTTTGGTTTTCCACTTCTGAGTTACTTCACTTAGAATAATAGTCTCCAATTCCATCCAGGTTGCTGCAAATGCCATTGTTTCATTTCTTTATATTGCTGAGTAATATTAGTCCTTTGTCAATATAGATTGTGAAGATTTTCTCCCACTCTGTGGGTTGTCTGTTAACTCTGCTGATTACTTCTTTTGCTGTGCAGAAGCTTTTTAGTTTAATTAAGTCCCATCTATTTATCTTTGTTTTTGTGGCATTTGCTTTTGGCTTCTTGGTTATGACGTATTTGCCTAAAGCAATGTCTAGAAGGGTTTTTCCAATGTTATCTTCTAGAATTTTTACAGTTTCAGGTCTTAGATTTATGTCTTTCATCCATCTTGAGTTGATTTTTGCATAAGGTGAGAGATGAAAATCGTTTCATTCTTCCACATGTGGTTTGCCAATTATCCTAGCACTGTTTGTTGAAATAAGGTGTCGTTTCCCCACTTTATGGTTTTATTTACTTTGTTCAAGATCAGTTGGCTGTAAGTATTTGGCTTTATTTCTGGGTTCTCTATTTTGTTCCATTGGTCTTTGTGCCTATTTTTATCCAAGTACCATGCTGGTTTGGTGATTGTGATTATGGCCTTATACTATAGTTTGAAGTCAGGTAAAGTGATGCCTCCAGATTTGTTCTTTTTGCTTAGTCTTTTTTTTTTTTTTGGCTGTGCGGGCTCTTTTTTGGTTCCATATGAATTTTAGAATTATTTTCTTCTAGTTCTGTGAAGAATGATGGTGAAATTTTGATGGGAATTGCATGGACTCTGTAGATTGCTTTTGGCACTATGATTATTTTCACAATATTGATTTCTACCCATCCATGAGCATAGGATGTGTTTCTATTTGTTTGTGTCATCTGTGATTTCTTTCATCAGTGTTTTGTAGTTTTCCTTGTAGAGGTCTTTCACCTCTTTTGTTAGGTATATTCCTAAGTTGTTTTTTTTTTTTTTTTTCAGCTATTGTAAATGGGGTTGAATTTTTAATTTTATTCTCAGCTTGATCACTGTTGGTGCTTGGCTGAGCTACTGATTTGTGTACATTAATTTTTTTATCCTAAAATTTTGCTGAATTATTTACCAATTCTAGGAGACTTTTGAATGGGTCTTTAGGGCTTTCTAGGTATATGATCGTATCATCTGCAAATTGCAACAGTTTTACTTCCTCTTTACTGATTTGGATGCCCTTTATTTCTTTCCCTTGTCTGATTACTCTTGCTAGGACTTCCAATACTATGTTGAATAGAAGTGATGAAAGTGGGCATTCTTGTCTCGTTCTAGTGCTCAGGGGGAATGCTTTCAACTTTTACTTGTCCAGTATAATGTTGGATGTGAGCTTGTCATAGATGGCTTTTATTATCTTATATGTCTCCTCCATGCCAATTTTATTGAGGGTTTTAATAATAAAGGTATGCTGGATTGTGTCAAATGCTTGTTTCTGCATCTATAAAGATGACCATGTGATGATTGTTCTATTTATGTGGTATTTATTCTCTTTATGTGATGTGTATCACATTTATTGACTTGCAAATGTTAAACCATCCCTGCATCCCTGGAATAAAACCCACTTGATCATGGTGGATTATGTTTTTGATATGCTATTGGATTTTGGTTAGCTAGTATTTTGTTGAGGATTCTTGCATCTACGTTCATCAAGGTCTGTAGTTTTCTTTTTTGTTATGTCCTTCCCTGGTTTTGGTATTAGGGTGATACTGGCCACATAGAATGATTTAGGGAGGATTCCTTCTTTCTTTATCCTGTGCAATAGTGTCAATAGGATTGGTATCTATTCTTTGAATGTCTGATAAAATTCAACTGTATATCCTTCTGGTCCTAGACTTTTTGTTGGCAATTTTTTATTTACTGTTTAAATCTCACTGCTTATTATTGGTCTGTCCAGAGTTTCCAAATCTTCCTGGTTTAATCTAGGAGGGTTGTATATTTCCAGGAATTTATCCATCTCCTCTAAGTTTTCTAGTTTATGCATGTAAAGGTGTTCATGGTAGCCTTGAATAATCTTTTATATTTCTGTAGTACCAGTAGTAATATCTCCTGTTTCATTTTTAATTGAGCTTTTTTTGATCTTCTCTCTTTTCTTGGTTAATCTTGCTAATGGTTGATCAATTTTATTTGTCTTTTCAAAGATCCATCTTTTTGTTTCATTTATCTTTAGTATTTTTTTTGTTTCAATTTCATTTAGTTCTGCTCTGATCTTTGTTATTTCTTTTCTTCTTCTGGGTTTGGGTTTGGATTGTTCTTGTTTCTCCAGTTCCATGAGGCATGACCCTAGATTGCCTATATGTGCTCTTTCAGACTTTTTGATTTAGACATTTTAGGCTATGAACTTTTCCTCCTAGTACTGCTTTTGCTGTGTCTCACAGGTTTTGATAAGTTGTGTCACTATTATCATTAAGTTCAAATAATTTTTAAATTTCCTTGAAATTTAAATTCCAACGAAGTTCCAATGAAATCTTGATATCATTGTTGATCCAACCATTACTTAGAAGCAGGTTATTTAATTTTCATATATTTGCATAGTTTTGAGGGTTCCTTTTGGAGTTGATTTTCAATTTTATTTTACTGTGGTCTAAGAGATTACTTGATATAACCCTGATTTTCTTAAATTTACTGAAACTTGTTTTGTGCCCAATCTTGGAGAATGTACCATGTGCTGATAAACACAATGTATATTCTGCAGTTGTTGGGTAGAATGTTCTGTAAATATCTGTTAAGTCCATTTGTTCTAGGATATAGTTTAAATCCATTGTTTCTTTGTTGACTTTCTGTCTTGATGACCTGTCTAGTGCTGCCAGGGGAGTATTGAAATCCCCCACTCTTATTATGTTGCTGTCCATCTCATTTCTTAGATTTAGTAGTAACTGTTTCAAAAATATGGGAGCTCAGTGTTAGATACGTATTTATTTAGGATTTCTTAGGATTTTTAGGATTCTGATATTTTCCTAATAGACTAGAACTTTTATTGTTATATAATATCACTCTTTGTCTTTTTTAACTTTCATTGCTTTAAAGTTCATTTTGTCTGTTATAAGAATAGTGACTCCTGCTTGCCTTTGGTGTCCATTTTCATGGAATATGTTTTTCTACTCCTTTTCCTTAAGTTTATGTGAGTCCTCATGTGTTAGGTTAGTCTCCTGAAGACAGCAGAAATTTAGTTGGTGAATTATTATACATTCTGCCATTCTGTATCTTTTAAGTGGAGCATTAAGGCCGTTTACATTCAACCTTAGCATTGAGATGTGAGGTACTATTCTATTCATTGTGCTATTTGTTGCCTGAATATCTTTTTTTCATTGTGTTATTGTTATATTGGTCCTGTGAGGTTTATGGTTTAAGGAGGTTTTATTTTGGTGTATTCTGAGGATTTGTTTCAAGACTTAGAGTTTCTTTTAGGAGTTCCTGTAGTGCTGACCAGGTAGTGGTAAATTATCTCAGCATTTGTTTGTCTGTAAAAAACTGAATCTTTCCTTCATTTATAAAACTTACTTTCACTGGATACAAAACTCTTGACTGATAATTGTTTTTTTTAAGGAGGCTAAAAATAGGACCCCAATTCCTTCCAGCTTGTAGGGTTTCTGCTGAGAAATCTGCTGTTATGCTGATAGGTTTTCATTTATAAGTTACCTGATGCTTTTGCTTCACAGCTCTTAAGAATCTTTCTGGCCAGGTGCGGTGGCTCATGCCTGTAATCTCAGCACTTTGGGAGGCCGAGGCAAGCAGATCATGAGGTCAGGAGTTTGAGACCAGCCTGACCAATATGGAGAAACCCTGTCTCTACCAAAAATACAAAGTTAGCCAGATGTGGTGGTGCATGCCTGTAGTCCCAGCTACTCAGGAGGCTGAGGCAGGAGAATCACTTGAACCTAGGAGGTGGAAGTTGCAGTGAGCCAAGATCACACCACTGCATTCCAGCCTGGGCAACACGAGTGAAACTCCATCCCAAAAAAATTTTTAAAAAATGTTAAAAAAGAATCTTTCCTTCATCTTGCTTTTAGATAACCTGATGACTATGTGCCTAGGTGATTATCTTTTTGTGATGCGGTTCCCAGATGTTCTTTGAGCTTCTTATATTTGAATTTGTAGTTCTCTAGCAAGGCCGGGGAAGTTTTTCTCAATTATTCTTTCAAATAAATTTTCCAGACTTTTCTTTGTCTTGGATGGATTGGGTTAATTTGAAAGCCTTGTCTTTGAGCTCTGAAGTTTTTCTTCTTTTTGTTTGATTCTATTGCTGAGATTTTCAGTGCATTTTTCAGTTCTCTAAGTGTGTCCTTTCTCAAAATCACAATTTCTAGAAGTTGTGATTGTTTTTTATTTATGCTATTTCACTGAAGATTTTTTCTCTCATATCTTCATATCCTGTATCATGTTTTTGATTTATTTTCTTTCTTTTTCTTTTTTTATTTTTTTTAAGATGGAGTCTCTCTCTATCACCCAGGCTGGAGTGCAATGGCATGATCTTGGCTCACTGCAGCCTCTGCCTCCTGGGTTCAAGTGATTCTTCTGCCTCAGCCTCCTGAATAGCTGGGACTACAGGCGTGCACCCCTACACCCAGCTAATTTTTCTATTTTTGGTAGAGATGGGGTTTCACCATGTTGGCCAGAATGGTCTCAATCTCTTGAGCTCGTGATCTGCCTGCCTTGGCCTCCCAAAGTGCTAGGATTACAGGCGTGAGCCACCGCCACCATGCCCGGCTTAGTTTTGATTTCTTTAAGTTGAACTTCATTTTTCTCTGGTGCCTCCTTGATTTGCTTAATCATTAAGCTTCTGAATTCTTTTCCTGGCAATTCAGAGATTTCATCTTGGTTTGGATTCATTGCTGGTAATCTGGTGTGATCTTCTGGGGATGTTAAAAGAAACTTGTTTTGTCATATTACCAGAATTGTTTTTTAGTTCCTTCTCATTTGGGTAGACTATGTCAAAGGGAAGATCTAGGACTCAAGGGCTGCTGTTCAGATTGTTTTGTCCCATGGGATGCTCCCTTGGTGTGGTGCTCTCCCACTTCCCATAGGAATGGGGCTTCCTGAGAGCCAAATTGCAGTGATTGTTTTTACCCTTCTGGGTCTAGCCACCCAGCAGAGCTACCAGGCTCTGGGCTGGTACTGGGGAGTATCTGCAAAGAGTCCTGTGATGCGATCTGTCTTCAGGTCTTTCAGCCTTGGATATTAGCATCTGCTCTGGTGAACACACGAGGGACATGAGGTGGACTCTATGTTAGAGTCCTTTATTGTATTTTTGTTTAGTGTTGATTGGTGTGCAGCCAGGACAAGTGCTTTCCAGAGTGCATCAGCTGTGGTACTATAGGGAGAAAGCAAACTTGCCCTAGGGTGGGCTGGTTAAGTATTCAGCTTTCTCAGGAGGTGGGCAGGGCCATGGAGCTCTCAAGAGATTGTGTCCTTTGTCTTTCGCTTCCAGGGCCAGTAGAGAAAGGCCACCAGGTGGGGGCAGGGTTAGGTGTGTCTGAGCTTAGACTCTCCTTGGGTGGGGCTTGCTGAAGCTGCTGTGGGGAATGCGGGTGTGGTTCTCAAGCCAATGGAGTTATATTCCAAGGGGGATTATGGCGGCCTCTGCTGTGTCATACAGGTCACCAGGGAAATGGGGGAAAGCCCTCAGTCACAGGCCCCACCCCACCCCCTGCAGCTCACAGTCCTAAAGGCCAATCTCATTCCCACTGTACCCCACAAACAGCACTGAGTCTATTTCCAGGCAGCTGTTGACCAGGGCTGAGAACTTGCCCCAAACCACCAGCCTCCCCTCTGAGAAAGCAAGCCAACTCACAGTTTTTTTGGCATCTCAGAAAGCCTGCAGCAATGACCAGTTTCTTCAAAGGGTCTGTGGATTCTCTCAGCTTTCCTGTTATGTTGTGGTGGTAGTTCTTGGAGCAAGAGTTTATCATGTGAGTTTCCACATGCTGCTCTGTCTGTCCCAGTGGGAGCTGCAAGCTAGTCCTACCTTCTATCCTCCCTCATTCATTTTATTAAATAGTAACATCTCTCAATCGTCATCACCTTTAAATTACTCTGAAGCAAATTTGTTATGTTATATGTCAGTTTAAAAGTTCTTTAACTGTTTTCCATTTTCTTCCAGAAGAAGTACAACATTCTTAATATGTTTCTGAAGACTTTCATGTTCTTAGCCCCTACATGATTTTCCAGGATAATTTTTCAATATGCTCCATCCTTTCCATCTTGCCTCCATTAGCCATACACAGTCTCTATCCAAGTGCCACAAGTTACTTTCCATATCTCAGCCATTTCTGAGGTATAAATACTTTTGTGAGTAACTTCTCCCCTTCCTTGAATATATTTTTCTATGTTCATCTGAAAACTTTGAAGGCTCAGTGAAATATTATTCAATGGTCAAAGTCTTTTTAAAAATTCTGAATAGTTAAAATCTCATCTGAAATTTTATATTACTTTTTACTTATTATTAGAGCCTCATTTACTCCTATTAAATATTTGTCTGTTTCCTTCAATAAGGGATCTGAACCTTAGGAGACCATGTATTAATTATCAGTATATTACCCCATCTTACACCATGACACAGTAGATACTCAATGGCTACTTGAAGAAAGGAAGTTTAAATAATTGAATACCCTTTAAGGAATTATTTATATCTTATTAAAATTTACACATTTTGAAATGTGTATTTTTTCTTTTAAAATATTTTCTACTGTGCTTCTGTATGCTGAATAGCATCCTTAAAAACAATGCTTCCTGGAATTATATAGCCTAAATAATTTCCATAGTCCTCAAATACTCATTCATGCTTTGCTGTAGTACCTTTCTTATGAATAACCAAAGGACCAAAACCATACTGAGATTCTCTATTAATGTAGGTTAGTAATTTTTTAAAAAGTGTACTGTTGTGTATTGTGTATTTACTAACATACTACATAGTAGAATTTATAATAATTAAAAATTAATCCATTAAAATAAATGGTGTAATCAGGGTTGTGCCATTGTTGCTTCTATATAATTTATTTTCATTTACTGGTCAATTAAAAATATGGCAATTATCCATGAAAGTATTTGTTTTCTTTTTTTTTTCTTCTTTTTAATTATACTTTAAGTTTTAGGGTACATGTGCACAACATGCAAGTTTGTTACATATGTATACATGTGCCATGTTGGTGTGCTGCACCCATTAACTCCTCATTTAACATTAGGTATATCTCCTAAGGCTATCCCTCCCCCCTCCCCCCACCCACAACAGACCCCGGTGTCTGATGTTCCCCACCCTGTGTCCATGTGTTCTCATTGTTCAATTCCCACCTATGAGTGAGAACATGCAGTGTTTGGTTTTTTGTCTTTGCGATAGTTTGCTGAGAATGATGGTTTCCAGCTTCATCCATGTCCCTACAAAGGACATGAACTCATCATTTTTTATGGCTACATAGTATTCCATGGTATATATGTGCCACATTTTCTCAATCCAGTCTATCATTGTTGGGCATTTGGGTTGGTTCCAAGTCTTTGCTATTGTTAATAGTGCCACAATAAACATACATGTGCATGTGTCTTTATAGCAGCATGATTTATAATCCTTTGGGTATATACCCAGTAATGGGATTGCTGGGTCAAATGGTGTTTCTAGTTCTAGATCCCTGAGGAATCGCCACACTGACTTCCACAATGGTTGAACTGATTTACAGTCCCACCAACAGTGTAAAAGTGTTCCTATTTCTCCACATCCTCTCTAGCACCTGTTGTTTCCTGACTTTTTAATGATCGCCATTCTAACTGATGTGAGATGGTATCTCATTGTGGTTTTGATTTGTATTTCTCTGATGGCCAGTGATGAGCATTGTTTCATGTGTCTTTTGGCTGCATAAATGTCTTCTTTTGAGAAGTATCTGTTCATATCCTTTGCCCACTTGTTGATGAGGTTGTTTGTTTTTTTCTTGTAAATTAGTTTGAGTTCATTGTAGATTCTGGATATTAGCCCTTTGACAGATGAACAGATTGCAAAAATTTTCTCCCATTCTGTAGGTTGCCTGTTCACTCTGATGGTAGTTTCTTTTGCTGTGCAGAAGCTCTTTAGTTTAATTAGATCCCATTTGTCAATTTTGGCTTTTGTTGCCATTGCTTTTGGTGTTTTAGACATGAAGACCTTGCCCATGCCTATGTCCTGAATGGTATTGCCTAGGTTTTCTTCTAGGGTTTTTATGGTTTTAGGTCTAACATTTAAGTCTTTAATCCATCTTGAATTAATTTTTGTATAAGGTGTAAGGAAGGGATCCAGTTTCAGCTTTCTACATATGGCTAGCCAGTTTTCCCAGCACCATTTATTAAATAGGGAATCGTTTCCCCATTGGTTGTTTTTGTCAGTTTTGTCAAAGATCAAATAGTTGTAGATATGTGGCATTATTTCTGAGGGCTCTGTTCTGTTCCATTGGTCTATATCTCTGTGGCTGCTGTAACAAATTACTACATAGTGGCTTAAAAACAATACAAATTTATTATATTACAGTTCTAGAAGTAAGAAATCCAAAATGGGTTCCACCAAACTTACATTAACGTATTGGTAGGAATGTTTTCTTGCTGGAGGCTATAGGAGAGAATCCACTTATTTGCCTTTTCCAGGCTCTAAAGGTCACCCACATTTCTTGGCTCATTGTCCTTTTCATTTATTTTCAAAGCCAGCAACATCTGACCAAGTCCTTCTCACACCATGATGCTCTGGTTTGTCGCCTGCCTCCCTCTCTAAGGACAACTGATTAGCAAACTTAATTCCACTGCAACCTTAATTCTCTTTGCCAGATTAACTATAATTGATTCTAGGATGTAGACACCTTTAAGGGTGATGTTATTCTTCATACTGTAATGGAAATATGCAGGAGCAGCCTAGTTTTAGCCAGCCTGAAATCATGACAAGTTTCCCTAAATAATCTTCCCAGAAGGACTGAGTTCTAACAAATGAATTAGGCATTGCCTAAATGGTCAGATTGCATATATCAAGACTGTGTTTACATAATGAAGGGTTTTACAGTTCTCTTTCCTCTCTTCCAACCTCCCTGTTTTTCTTTATTTCTTCTTTCTAAAATGTTTACTAAATGTGTACTGTATGTTAGGCCCTGGAATAGGTATTACAAATAAAATGACAAAGACAACAAAATTCCCATGATTGGGGAGCCACAGTGTTACAGTGTTTTTTATATATATATAAAATTTTTTTGTATATAAATTTTATATATTATATTTTATATATATTCATATATATAATACACACACATATGTAATTTGATTGTCTTTGGGTATATATATACGAAAACTATGTTGTTCCTGCATATTTTTATTGTGTTAGGAAGAATAATGTCCTCCTCCAAAAGATCTCCCCATCCTAGAACCTGTTACAATTAGTTTGCCTGGCAAACGGAGTTAAGATTGCAAATAGAATTAAGATAATTAGTCAAATAATTATAATGTAAAAATGGTAAGGCAGGTTTACTAAAACCTGTGTTATAAAATATTTGTCCCAGAAATTGCTTTATATAAGGAGTCCAAGTCAAATATATTGAGAAGTGTTCTACTTTATAATACTCCCTGTGCCTTATCCAACTTACATTCTATCCCTGGGAGGATCACAAGGCACATTAGTATATTACAAATTCTCAGTCAAATATATTGAGAAGTGTTCTACTTTATAATTCTCCCTGTGCCTTATCCAACTTACATTCTATCCCTGGGAGGATCACAAGGCACATTAGTATATTACAAATTCTCAGTCAAATATATTGAGAAGTGTTCTACTTTATAATTCTCCCTGTGCCTTATCCAACTTACATTCTATCCCTGGGAGGATCACAAGGCACATTAGTATATTACAAATTCTCAGGATTTCTGCAATAGGGAAATCTGTTTATTAGGTAAGTCCTTTCCAAATTTATATATTTTGTTTCATTTTCTGTAATGGGCCTATTCATTTCCTCAACAAATCTGTAAACATACTATAAAAACACTCCTCTAAAAGAATGAAGACAAGAAAATAATTTACTTTACTTGGTGATTTTGAGAGGTTGAGACAGTCTAGGCCGGGCGTGGTGGCTCACACTTCTAATTACAGCACTTTGGGAGGCCGAGGCAGGCAAATCACTTGAGGTCAGGAGTTCGAGACCAGCCTGGCCAACATGGCGAAACCCTGTCTCTACTAAAAAGAAAAAATTTACCTAGACATGGCAGCATGAGCCTGTAATCCCATCTACTCAGGAGGCTGAGGTGGGAGAATTGCTTGAACCCAGGAGGCGGAGGTTGCAGTGAGCTGAGATTGTACCACTACACTCCAGCCTGGGTGACAGAGCAAGATTCCATCTCAATTAAAAAATAATAATTAATTAAAAATAAATTAATTAATTAAAAAGCCTGACTGAAAATTGAGATATTTAAGCTTCACTTATGCCACAGCAGGTGATCTTCAAAGAAGAGCCCTACAAACCTCCTATCACATCACCACCACCACTTAAATATGTAGGCTGCTCCCCAGATGTTCTTCATATAAATAGGAGAGCTTATTTTCCCTCCCTGTAAATCTAAATTGGACTTGTAGCTCTTCTTGACCAATAGTATGCAGCAGAAGTAACGTTTGGGGGCTTCCAAGTCTTAAAAAGTCAAGCAGCTTGCACTTCTTCCCATTGAAGTCTAGCTGCCATTCTATGAGAAAACCAAGCCACATGGAGTAGAACAAAGATGTCCTTGTGAATGGCTCCAGTTAAACACCCATTTGACAGTGACAACTTAAGTCATGGATGTATAACCCAAGTCAACTTCTTCCTGGTAGTCCCCAGCTCTCCGTGCTACTCTGGCTGACACTATATTAAGCAGAGGTGGGAGATGCTTCTACCAAGTGTTGATAAATTGCAAATTCATGAGCAAATAATATGGTTTTTGAAAGTCACTAAATTTTGGAATAGTTTGTTACATATCAATAGATAATTGAAATATATGCCTTGAAAGAGAAAAAGAAATTTGGCTAGTAGTCTTAATACAAAAAACACCACACACAAAGGAAGGTGTATAAATGACTATGGCTTGTTCCAGAAACAAATGGCTCAATGTGACTGAAATATTGGGTGAAGGGAGGGGAGTACTGCCTTTAGGGCTTTCGAGATAAATAGGGTACAAATAATAATAGGTTTTGGACTAGCATAAGGCTTTAATTAAACTATTCTAAATATATTCTGTTGTGTCATTTTTGTCTTCCATAGGTTTCCCTTTCTTCTCCTAGTAAAAATCTTCTATTTGTCTTCTGGGAAACTACTCCTTTGTCACTTTCAATCTACATGTCTTGGGTGGAGCAAACATATATGAACAGATATATTAAAAAACAAAAAAATGTACACTCATGAGAGGTCCATACTTGATTAATCAGATCAGTATATAACTGGCCATAGTTTGGCTATAAAATAAATCTATGTATGACTCAAATTGGATAAATCTGGGTTAATCCTAGAAATTTTGCTTAGATTACCAAGGATGCTAAACTGGGAAAAAGTGATTTTGGAATTACAGGAAAGTGCATGACTAAGAAATGAGCCAACAGAAAACATTAGGGCTGAAAAATAGAAAGAAATATAATTCTATGGAATCTTACATTCAGCTCTAATCTGTTTAGTTATGTTGGCCAATAATTAACTTTTTAAAAAAAATTTAGCTGGCTTGAGTTGGGTTTCTGTCACTTACAACCAAAAGGCTCTTGATTAATAAAGGGGAACATTATTAGATATAGAAATAATATAATTGGTTATGCTCTAGAAAGATGACTCTGGTTTTCCTAAGAAGGCAAAGGCAGAACAAGGGTAAAAATTGCAGCAAATAAATAATGAGGACTTTCCGAAATACAATGTGAAAGTGAGTTACTTGCTTCTTAATCTTTTCCTTGTGGTGACAAAATATAGTAGAAAAAAGAATGAGACAACAAAATTGTCAATGATTGTAGGTATATAATAATTCATATTTTAATAAGTTAATCATTCAAGAAATATTAATCTCTACCTATGTTTGACCATGGGTTCTCAATCTTGCTCCTTTTTGACTCAAATTTCTGAGGTTATTCTTGACTATTGGCGTTAAAAAAAATCACCAGAAAATTTTTTGTGCAGCTAGGATTGCACCTTGATAAGCATAAAAATTATACAATAAGCTTCTTTAAAATATTGATTTACTAGCCACTACCTAGACATTCTTTTCAACTAAAAAAATTTAATTATTATGAGTACATATTGTATATATTTATGGGTTACATGTGATGTTCAAACATTCTTAGTAAGATTATAGTAAAGTGGAGAATCGGTATTCTCCAAGAAAAATCATATGAAAACTTTGACCTACAAGGTTAGCACTTTCCAGTTCTTGACTCACTTTTGAGCAGAGATATTAGCAAATCATCAATTTAAGATCTATCACCTTAAGAGGATCTTTTTCTGTTTCTCTGGATGCAGCAGCAGGAAAGTAGAATAAGTCACGGGAGTTTTTGTGTCCACTAAACTGCCCTGATCTTAAATGGTCTACTTTTTGCAACAAGGCACAGGCTTATTTCTTTCACCACTTCCCAGACCTTTTAACAGTTCTTATACCAACCAGAATAGAAGCCCTCCTTTCAATTAATTAACTGGATGTTGGCAACTTATTTTGTTTGTGTTAAGAACTCCCACACTGACAGACTGCCTACTTTAAAAAAAGAAAAATAAATCACAAGATGACCAGTGTGACTAAAGCAGAATCAAAGAATTAGAAAATAAAGAGATTAAGTCAAAGAATCAGTTTAGGTTCAAATTGCATGAGGACCCATAGGTCGTAACAAGAACTTTGACTTTACTCTGAGAGCAATGAAACATCATTGGAGGACTTTCCCCACAAATGTGACTTATTCATATCTTTAATATGATGATTCTAGATGCTCAGTTTAGAACAGGATAAATTGAGCAAAGAATAGAGGCACAGAGACCAGTCAGAAACTAATTACAGTAATTTAGGCAAGACATGATAGTGTGTTTTTTCAAACTGATAGCAAGAAATTGCTAAATTGGTCAGATTCGAGAAATAATTTAAGAACAGGGTCAACAGAATTTGCTAACTGCATGAAGATATGTTAGAGGAGAGTCAAATATGACCCCAGAGTTTAAGGACTATGTAGGTAAAATAATTATTTTGTAATTGAAGTAGAAAAGACTGAAAGAGGAAGAGGTTTGGAATTGAAAGATCACATGTGCATTTTTAAGTCTGAGACTGCTGTTAGAAACACAATTAAAAATACTGAATTTTAAGTTAGATATTTTTTCTTATTGACCCAAATTTCAGGGTCAGTTCTGGGCAGAGAGTTTAAAACCTGGAATGATAAGGATATAGATATTATTTAAAGGCAAGGCATTAAATGAGATCACAATGGGAAGGAGTATAAATGGAACTTAAGAAAAGATTAAAGACTGAGTCCCCAGAAAATCTTACATTAAGGGAGAGTTTTCAGAGCTATTGCTTGACTAGAGTAGCTTTAATAAAGAATAAGGAAATAGCGATAATGAGTAAAAAACTCTTCTTCAGACTTTTCTGTAGAGGAAAGTAGAAAGAGGACATGTAATTGTAACATAAATTGGGGTAGAGTTATTTTTAATTGAGAAAATATACTTTTTCACGTGGTATAGGAGACAAATATTGATGTTGATATTGATCGATATTGTTTCCTCAGAGATGGAAAACAAATGAGGTAAACCCTACTCATGTCTCAGCTTATTATAGTACTATCTTGATTTTTTTTTTTTTTTTTTTTTGCCAAATTGCAGGGAGGGGAAATCCAGTAAAAAGCAGATGGATTCTATGAGTTGAGGAGATAAAGAGTCCAGAGAGACAAAAGGAGGAGTGGGGAGGCTATAGTTCACAGGACACAATCCCAGGGAAGAGAGAGCTCTGTGAAGAGAGAATTCTAGATTTTGAGGGGCACTTCTCAAATATTTAGCAGAGTGCTAATTGGCACATGAATTTAAGAAACTACCTGACAATGGAGAAAGAACCTCTTTGAGGGTTAGTGGTAGTAGTTTAAAGTGCACATAAATGGCTGGTGGTTGTGCCTGTTCCCACTAGAGGAAAAAAAAAAGCCTCATGATTAGTGGAGCATTCAGTAGAGCACTAAGAAGGTTCTTGCCCTCATAATGGGGGATAATGAGCCTTAGAACAATATTGCTATAGTTTAACCTATCAAATATAAAAAGATCAAATGGTTTCCAAGCCATTTAACCATGTCCCAGAACAAAATGCAAGAATATTTATAGGAATACAAAAAATTTCAGCACTCAACAAGCTAGAATTCAAAAATGTCCAGAAATGTATTAAAGATTGCTAGTTAAGAGCAGGAAAATACAAACTATAATAAGGATAAGAACTGACTAATCAAAAGGGACCCAGTAATGATGCAGATATTAGAATTAGCAGACATGGATAGTAAATAGTTAATACATCTGAGTTTCAGATTTCTGAAAAGTTAAATAGAACCATGGAAGATTTTTAAAAGAATCAAATAGAAATTCTAGAGATAAAAATAGTGATATCTGAAGTGAAATAACACCGAATAGTGTTAATGGCAAATTAAACTTTGCAAAAGATTAGTAAACTTGAAGACATGGCAAAGAAACCCATTCAAAATTAAACACAGAGAAAAAAAAACAAGCCCAAAATTGAGAAGACCATCAGTAAGCTGTTGAAAAACTTTAAGCAATATGTAATTGGAAACCCCCCACCAATAAAGAAGAGCAATAGTGATACAACAAACATTTGAAGAAATAATGTCCAAAGTTTTTAATTTTGATGAAACCTCTAACCAAAAAATTCAAGAAAATTAACATAACAGAAAACATGATTAAAAGTACTCAGAAACACATCATAATCAGATTACTTACAACCAGTGATAAAGGGAATATCTTAAAATAATAAGCCAGAGCACAAAAGACAGAGAAGCAAAGATAATGATGAGAACAGACTTATCACCAAGAACCTTGCAAGTGAAAAGACAGTGGAGCAACATTGTTTTAGTCCATTTTGTGTTGCTGTAAAAGATTACCTGAGGCTGGGTCATTCATAAAGAAAATATGTTTATTTAGCTCACAGTTCTGCAGCTGTACAAGAAGCATGGCATCAGCATCTGCTTCTGGTGAGGGCTTTAGGCTGCTTCCACTCATGGCGGAAGGCAAAGGGAATCTGGTCTGTGATGACATGGTGAGAGAGGAAGCAAAAAAGAGGGGGAAGATGCCAGGCTCTTTTTAATAGCCAGCTCTCAGGGAACTCTCAGTGGAAGTAACATACCTGGGAACCAACAAATTGAGAACTCAATTGCTACTGCAGGAATAGCACCAAGTCATTTATAAAGGATCCGTCTCCATGATCCAAACACCTTCCATTAGGCCACACCTTCAGCAATAGGGAGGTTTGGAGGGCCAAATATCCAAACTATAGCATCCCACCCTTGTACCCTAAACCTCACGTCTTTGTCACACTATAAAATACAACAATTTCTTCCCAAAAATCTCCCAAAAGTCTTAACTTTTTCCAGCACCAACCCCAAAGTCCTAAGTCCAAAGTCTCATCTGAAACTCAAGACAAGTTTCTTCCGGCTATAAGCCTGTAAAATGAAAAACAAGTTATTAACTTGAAAGATACAATGGTGGAAGAAACATCGGGTAAACATTCCCATTCCAAAATGGAGGCATGACAAAAGAAAGGGGTAACAGGTCCATACATGTCTAAAACACAATGGAGCAGTCATTAAATCCTTAAGCTGTAAAATAATTGCTTTTGACTCCATATCCCATATTGGTGGAAAGAATGGGCCTCCAAAAACTTGGGCAGCCCTGTCCCATGGCTTTCCTGGGTGCAGCCCACATGGCTATTTCCATGGGTTAGAATTCAATGCCTACAGCTTTTCAGATTGAATGCTGCTGTTTGCTCTACAATTCTGGTGTCTGGAGGGCAGCAGCCTCCTTTCCACAGAATTTTTTTTTTGCATGAAGTGGTATAATATCACTTGAATGTAGACTAGGATAAAGATGTGTACCATAAATCTTAACCATCAACTTTAAAAAACAACAGTAATGACAAGAGTTATTATAATAGGTCAACAAACAAGATGAAATGAAATCATAGAACAGTGAAAAAGAGTAATAAAGATAAGTTGAGGCAAATAGAAAACAAATAGAAGATGATACACACAACTAATCATATCAATTGCATTACATGTACATAATCTCAGCACTCCAATAAAAAAGACAAAGATTATCAGATAGGATATAAAAGCAAAGATTAAGTATTTGGTGCTTATAAGCAACATTCTTTAAATAAAAACATAAATATATTAAAGTACTTTATTTGGGTTGGAAAATATGAACCATGTTAACACTAGTTAAAGAAAGATTAATTTTTCTATATCCACACTAGAAAAAGTGGATTTCAAAGAGAAATATAATAAAGTATCACCCTTTCAAATAAAAACCTGAAGACTAGATGTGAGCTTTATATATTTCAGCAAATAATTGAGTAATTTATCTCTGAAAATAAAGTTATCTTATAAATATCATTATCTAACTGACATAAGTTGCAAAAAAAAAAAAAGAAAATGCAAAGGATGTATGTGTCAAGAATAATAGTACAGTTACAAAGAAAGACACCAAGTTAATTCCCTGATAAATATTTGCTTGTGGTATATAAATCATAATACAGAAGGATAAAAATGATTCAGCATAATTCATATTTTCTTTCTTCAGTACATTAGGTCCCATGAACTTAAACATACAAGCTTATGGGATTGTCAAAAAATCAAAAGATTATCTTTCCCTTTGTAGTACAAGAAATGAATTTCAATGGGAACCAGAAGATACTAGACATAGATGGAACACTTGCAATATTTATGCCAAAACATTGTCTAAAAGCATAACCAAATTATTTCTGAAGATTATTACTGAAGGTTTACCCAATAATATCCTTATACTTTGATACTCTCACACATGAAAGATCTCCACACTGGCATATCATTTCCGCTTTGGTTTTATAAGCTAAATCTTTTTATTCATTGAAACACTTATTTGAGAATTAGGTCAAGAGACACAGTTCTTGCAAAATCTTACTATTATGGCTATAGGCATTCTGGTATACACCCCATCTTTTTTTAAAAAAAATGCTTAAGATCTTAAACTATGAATATGTAACTTTTTTTGCTTCTCTCTGTGGGTTACATTTTGGTATCACTCTATGTATTTTCAAAAGAATCTTCTTGCATCTTCCTGCAGTTTATAATGGAATACTACAAGTCTCACACTTGGTGAAAACACATTTAGAGAAATTAAATAATTTCTACAATGTAAAACAGTCAGTATTTGACAGAGCTGAAATGAAAACTTATTTATTTACTCAACAAAACTTTATTGAATGGCTAGTACATTCCCATCACTGTTCTTGATTTTCAGGCTACATCAATAAATAAAATGAAAAAAGAGGAAAATAAATCCTGCCCTTTGAAATGTAGATCTGTCTAATGGGGAATCACATGATACTATTACTGTCTCGTATAGCTTCTTCATCAAAGAAAGGTGAAGTTTTCAATTTATTTCCTTGAACATGGTGTTCAATGATGTATTTGATATTTCTGTGAAAATGCTGCTAGAATTTTGATAGGGATTACATTGAATCTATAGATCATTTTGGGCAGTTCTTAGTCATTTTGTGTTGCTATAAAGAAATATGTGAGGCTGAGTAATTTACAATGAAAAGAGGCTTATGTCGTTCACAGATTTGCAGGCTGTACAAGAAGCATGGCACTAGCATCTGCTTCTGGTGAGTTCCTAAGACTCCTTCCAGTCAGGGCAGATGGAGAAGGACAGCCAATATATGCAGGGATCACATGGCAAAAAAAGAAGCAGTGGACGGGGAGATACCAGCCTTTTTTAATGTTTTTATTTTAACAACCAGCTTTCACAGGAACTAATAGAGCAAAATCTCACTCATTACCACAAGGATGGCACCAAGCCATTAACTAGGATTCCACCCCCACTACTCAAACACCTCCCGTTAGGCCCTATCTCCCATATTGGGGATCAAATTTCAACGTGAGGTTTGGGGGAAAATATCTCCAAACTGTAGCAGGGAGTATGGGCATTTTTAATAATAATAAGTCTTCTAATTCATGAACACAGGAGATATTTCCATTAATTTGTATATTCTCCAATTTATTTTATCAATGTCATAGTTCTCAGAGTACAAATCTTTTACCTCCTTGGGTAAATTTATTCTTAAAATTTGTATGGAACCAAAAAGACCCAAAATAGCCAAGGCATTCTTGAGGAAGAATAAAGATGGAAGCATCACACATTTCAATTTCAAACTCTATTGTAAAGCCATAGTAATCAAATCAGTATGGTACTGTCATATAAACAGACACATAAACAAATGGAACAAAACAGAGAGTTCAGAAATACAGCCATGTGTATGGAGCCACGAATATTTGAGAAGGGTACCAAGAATACAAACTAAGGAAAGTAAATTTTTTTTCAATAAATGATATTGGAAAAACTGGATGTCCATGTATTAAAAAACCAAGGGGATTGGGTTCCTGTTTTACATCACTCCCCCCAAAATTATTCAAAATGGATTCAAGACTTAATTACATGACCTGAAATTTTTAAAACTCCTAAAAATGAGAAAAAAACTCTTTGACATTGATCCTGACAATGACTTTTGGATATAACATCAAAAGCACAGACAACATAAAAATAAATAAATTGGATTATATCAAACTAAAAAGCTTCTGCTCTGCAAAGGAAACAATTAACAAAATGAAAAGGCAACCCGTAACATGAGAAAAAACATTTGGAAGCCGTGTATTTGATAATGTGTTAATATCTGAAATACATAAGAAAATTATACAACACTGTAGCAAACAAACACACACAAAAACAATAAATATTCAGATTACAAAATGATCAAAGGACTCATATAAAGAAAACATACAAATGGGCAACAGGTATATAGAAATGTTTCTAATATCACTAATTATCAGGAAAATGCAAATTAAAATCACAATGAGATGTCACTTCACACTTAAGAGGATGAACATTATCAAAAAGATAAGAGATAACAAGTGTTGGAGAGGATGTGGAGGAAAGAAAACTTCTGTACACTGCTGGTGGGAATGTAAATTGGTACATTTGGAAAACAATTTAGAGTTGTGGAAAACATTATAAAGGCTCCTGAAAAAATTATAAAGATCTACAATAAAGCCCAGCAATCGTAGTTCTGGGTATATCTTCAAAGGCAATGTAATCAGTATCTCAAAGAAATATCCACACTCCCATGTTCATTGCAGCATTATTCACAATAGCCAAAAAAATGGAAACAATTTATGTGTCTGCTGCTGAATGAGAGGATAAACAGAATGTGGTGTGTGTATACAATGAAATATTATTCAGCCTTAAACAAGAAAGAAATCCTTCCATTTGCAAGAATATGCATAAACATGGCAGGCATTTATGCTAAGTGAAGTAAGCCAGTTGGAGAAAAGCTAACACTGTATGATCTCGCGTACATGTAAAATCTTAAAATGTCAAACTCAGAAAGCAGAACTGTGGTTGCCAAGGGATAGGGAGTGGGGAAAACTGTGAGATGTTGGTAAAAGGGTATAGACTTTCAGTGATGTGTAGAATATATTCCATGGATCTAATGCATAGTGACTATAATTAATAATACTGTATTGTATACTTAAGTACTCTTCCTCCATTAAGGAGTACAATGTGATTATTTGATATTGGTATATATTGTGAAATGAACACAACAATCAAGTTAGCCCATCTATCACCTCATGCAGTTACAATTTTATTAGTCAATTACACCTCAATAAAGCTGTATTGGGGAAAAGAAAGATTGTACTTGATGTTGATAGCGACAGGAGACAGGCAAATTCCTAGGCAGACAGGGACAGGTCCCCAGTGAAACTCCACCTTCAAGCCAAGGGCTGTCTAAAGCCTGAAAATTGAGCTACCAGTCCGGGATAGAATCCACAGACTGGGCCAGGTGCAGTGGCTCATGCCTGTAATCCCAGCACTTTGGGAGGCTGAGGCAGGTGGGTCACTTGAGGTCAGGAGTTCAAGACCAGCCTGGCCAAATTGGCAAAACCCCTTCTTTACTAAAAAATACAAAAATTAGCTGGGCATGGTAGTGGGCGCCTGTAATCCCAGGTACTTGGGAGGCTGAGGCAGGATAATTGTTTGAACCTGGGAGGCAGAGGTTGCAGTGAGCTGAGATTGTGCCATTGTACTCCAGCCTGGGCATCAGAGCAAGACTCTATCTAAAAAAAAAAAGGAACCCACAGAGTGGAGTGAGGTCTTCCATCCTATCTTACTCTCTCTTGATTGGTTCTTTCTGAATGATGCCTTTTAACCAATCAAATGGCACCTATTCCAAGTCCACCCATAAACCAATCAGCATGCATTCCCCAATTCTAAGCCCATAAAAATTGCGGACTCACAGATGGCTACCCATGTTCATGTCCCTTCTCGCTGTTGAGAGCTTTTCTTTCACTCAATAAATTCTAATCTGCCTTACCTTCTCTCTGGTGTCTGCATACCTTATGCCTCTCAGTTGCAGGACAAGAACCTGGAACTTGCCAAACGTTCAAAGCAAAAGAGCTGTAATGCTTCTGCTTGCCAAACTATGGGAGTACAAAAGCCACAACAATATGTTACTCAAGCAAAAACACTCTGAATTAACAATTATGAATAATATTTTAAGAAAGTCTACTGGGGTAGTGAAATGGCATGTAGACACAGGATTGCCTGATCTGCCAGCATGGAGATCACCTGTATGACCTGGTATACACTGCCGAGACTGGCTCAGTCGGGGAGACCCTAACCCAGCGGCGCTAGAGGAATTAAAGACACACACACAGAAATATAGAGGTGTGAAGTGGGAAATCAGGGGTCTCACAGCCTTCAGAACTGAGAGCCCTGAACAGAGATTTACCCACGTATTTATTAACAGCAAGCCAGTCATTAGCATTGTTTCTATAGATATTAAATTAACTAAAAGAATCCCTTATGGGAAACTAAGGGATGGGCCGAATTAAAGGAATAGGTTGGGCTAGTTAACTGCAGCAGGAGTATGTCCTTAAGGCACAGATCGCTCATGCTATTGTTTGTGGCTTAAGAATGCCTTTAAGCGGTTTTCCACCCTGGGAGGGCCAGGTGTTCCTTGCCCTCATTCCAGTAAACCCACAACCTTCCAGCGTGGGCTTTATGGCCATCATGAACATGTCACAGTGCTGCAGAGATTTTGTTTATGGCCAGTTTTGGGGCCAGTTTATGGCCAGATTTTGGGGGGCTTGTTCCCAACAATACACTTACGTTCATCATCATTCCTGGGAAATAAACTCCTGATATTCTTCCACTAAGTAAATTAGTAATTTTTATTTTTTTCCTCAATAATAACTTTTGAATGATAATTCCTACATCTGTAGTAAAATGTGGCATCCCTTGAAGAAATGGATAGACAAACTACAATGAGGAGAAGGAGCTCAGGAAAGGGGTGTTGATTGCACAGCAAAAACAATCAACCTGTGTATTAGGTAAATCTCTTTTGAGTAAAACCCTCAGAAATCCCATCTGATCTATCTCAGAAACAAAGAAAAAACATGTGAGGTAAGTCTGTCCTCAGGTGCTCTTGCAATGTCAGTTACTTATTGTTCTCCATGTCCTCAATTGGATATCTTCTCTCTGGCTTTCTTCTACATAAAGTGTTCTCTATACAGCACTCTCTATTTTATGGGAAATGTGACCACTTGGAACGCTAGCTTTATGCAGTAGTTATAGCTCTTACTCTCAGAGGGAGTGGATGCTAACAGTCAAATTATAAAAAGGAGAGGCCAGGCATGGTGGCTAATGCCTGTAATCCCAGCACTTTGAGAGGCTGACATAGGCAGATTGCCTGAGGTCAGGAGTTCAAGAACAGCCTGGCCAACATGGTGAAACCCTGTCTCTACTGACAATACAAAAATTAGCCAGGTGTGGTGGCAGGCACCTGTAATCCTAGCTACTCAGGAGGCTGAGGCAGGAGAATTTCTTGAACCTGGGAGCCTGGGAGGTGGAGGTTGCAGTGAGCCAAGATCGCAGCATTGCACTCCAGCTTGGGTGACAAGAATGAGACTTTGTCTCAAAAAAAAAGGAGAACTTCAAATGAATAGAATTATGTATTTCATATTAACTTTAATATTTATGTTTAATTTTGAGTCTAAAATCTTAAACATATTATAAAATTAAGCAGTTTTTGAAGAGTTTTTTTCTTAATTTTAGTTCTGTTTGCTTCTGTTATTCTTACTATTTATTTAGCACTGGGTTATAGAGGCAGTGATACTTATTCATTTTTCCTATGTGTCAGAAACTACGATAAGCATTTACCTGCATTAATTACATTGCATTGACATGAAAGCCCTATAAGAAAAGTTCTATTATTAAAAACATTTAAAAAGTTAAGTCAGTCAATGTGTAAATGACTGTGCAAATGTTTGTAGCTGATAACCAGCTGTTTTTTAGAGCACAGGTCTATGCAACACCTACCCCAAATTCAGAGGAAGCTGAGAGGCCAAAGAAAGAAGCTGAGAAATCCAGTTTCCAGAAATAAGTGTTTAATAGGGACTTATTAACAGAACGCTTGTCTGTGTCTTGGATGGCAGCGAGACAAGATGGTGAATCTTGTCTAGGGCTTATATGCCACAGGAAATGTGGTTCAGAAGGGATGTGTAGGATGTTATCCTACTGAAATAGGATAACATCAAGGTTGCTTGACCTGAGGGCATGTTTGATAGTAAGTACCTGCTGTTAGATAAAAAACAATAGGTTAATAGGAAACCTTAAGGACTTCCTGGAACTGGGGCTAGTCAGAAACCAACATGGCAAATTAGCATCCAAGATGGAGTTGCTTTAGCCTCCACATCAGCTAAGATGTGAACCTGGAAACTGAGCTTCTCTCAGGCACTATGCTATCTTTCTGTCTGTTAATATAGTAGGGAAAAATTAGACAACATTACAATGCTTATTCAAAATTCTATACATATGACTTTATTCTTACTGAAGACTGTACTTTTTAAAATGGCATGGTATAATAAAAGATCCCAAAGACTAACAGTGACACATGAATTCAAACTTCAACTCCACCACTCTCTAGCTGCAAAAATTTAGGTACTCAGCTCAACTTCTGTATACATGAGTTTCATAAAACATAAAAATGGAATAATATCTACATCAGAATATTTCATGAGGATTAAGTGAAATAGCCAATTGCTTAGATAGTAGGGAGATTATACAGTAGTGAGGAAACAACATGAATTTTACACAAATATAATTTTACAGGTAAAATGTAAAACTTGCTTGTTTAAAGTTATTAGCAAGCTTCTGAAACAGGAAAGAAATTCTCACATTCCTCTGGAATGTAAAATGGTATAACCACTTTGGAAAACTGTTTGCTGATATTATAAAAACACAAATATATACCTATCACATGGCCCACAGAGTCTACTATGTATTTACCTAAAAGAAATGCTTTGTTTACAGGAGCCCCAAATTGGAAACAACCTAAATTTCTATTAACAATTGAATTGATAAACAATGTTATATCTATAGAAGAGAGGAAATGTAAGGCAATTAGCTATTGATAAACACAATAACATAAATGAATCTCAAAATCATTATACTGAGTGAAAGGAGCCACATATGTAGCAAATACACAATAATTTCTAGTGACAAGAAGCAGATCAGTTTTGCCTGCAACTAAAAGCTGAGGGAGGAATGAACCATAAAGAAATATGGGGATCCTTAGAAGGTGAAGGAAATTTTATGTGTCTTGAGTGTGGTTATGGTTTTATGGGTATATACATCTGTCAACTTTAGCAAACTGTACACTTTAAATGGAAGCAGTTTATTGTGTAAATTATATCACAATAAAGTTAATTTTAAAGATGAAGAAACATTTAATGTGCATGGATTGAAGGACTCAGTATTTTAAAGACATAAATTCTCTCCAAATTTATCTGTAGATTAAAATGCCTTTCAAATAAAATAACCAGATTTGTGTGTATGTATATGTGTGCAATACACGTGTGTGTGTGTGAAAAGACTCTGAATCTAAAAGTTATACAGAAATTTATGCAAAGGACACAGAATAACTAAGGCAATACTGAATAATGAAGTTAGAGGACTATCATATAAATGTCCACTTTACATAATGCTATAGTAAGAATTAAAATAGTGTGGTGTTGACATACAGATAAGCACATTGACCAATGTAACTGTGGAGAAAATCTAGAACTGGACTCACTTAGATGTCAGTGATCTCTTTATTTTTTGCAGGAAACACTGCAATTCAGTGGGGAAAAATGGTATTTTCAATAAATGGTGTAAGTTTTAATAAATATTCACATAGAAAAATAATAAATCTTATCTTGTTCCTTATACAATATATTAGAATCAACTGTCTGGGCACAGTGGCTCATGCCTGTAATCCCAGCACTTTGGGAGGCTGAGGCAGGCAGGTCACCTGAGGTCAGGAGTTCAAGACCAGCCTGGTGAACATGGTGAAACGCTGTCTCTAATAAAAATACAAAAATTAGCTGGGTGTAGTGGTGAACACCTGTAATCCCAGCTACTTGGGAAGCTGAGGCAGGAGAATCACTTGAACCTGGGAACCAAAGGTTGCAGTGACCCGAGATTATGCCATTGCACTTTAGCCTGTGTGACAAGAGCAAAACTCCTTCTCAAAAAAAAAAAAAAAAAAAAAAAAAAAAAAAAAAAAACTATAGGTGATTTGTAGATCTAAATGTGGAAAAAACAATAAAACTTTTAGAAAAAAATATAAAAATACTCTTACTATTTTAAGGTAGCCAAAGTTTTTTTAATAAGAACAGAAAATATTCACTTAAAAAGAAAACTTGATAAAGAGGTGTATACTAAATTTAAAATGAATTCAAAGACATAATTAAGAGTGTCACTATTGGGGGAACCCACCCCAAATATTTCAACATAAGTTATTTCTCTTTTCCATAAGTGTCGGCCAACTGAGAAATAAAGAGAGACAGTACAAAGAGAAGAATTTTACAGCTGGGCCGCTGGGGGTGACATCACATATCGGTAGGACCGTGATGCCCACCTGAGTCTCAGACCAGCAAGTTTTTATTAAGTGTTTCAAAAGGGGAGGGGGTGTAAGAACAGGGAGTAGGTACAAAGATCACATGCTTCAAAGGGCAAAAAGTAGAACTACTAATAAGGGTCTAACAAAGATCACATGCTTCTGAGAGAACAGGACAAAGGGCAAAAGCAGAACTACTGGTAAGGTCTATGTTCAGCGGTGCACATATTGTCTTGATAAACATCTTAAACAACAGAAAACAGGGTCTGAGAGCAGAGAACCGGTCTGACCACAAATTTACCAGGGCGGAGTTTTTCCCCACCCTAATAAGCCTGAAGGTACTGCAGGAGACCAGGGCGTATCTCAGTCCTTATCTCAACTGCATAAGACAGACATTCCCAGAGCAGCCATTTATAGACCTCCCCCCAGGAATGCATTCCTTCCCCCGGGTATTAATATTAATACTCCTTGCTAGGAAAAGAACTTAGTGAAATCTTCCCTACTTGCACGTCCATTTATAGGCTCTCTGTAAGAAGAAAAATATGGCTCTTTTTGTCCGACCCCACAGGCAGTCAGACCTTAAGGTTGTCTTCCCTTGTTCTCTAAAAATCGCTGTTAATCTGTTCTTTTTCAAGGTGCACTGATTTCATATTGTTCAAACACACGTTTTACAATCAATTTGTAAGTTAACACAATTATCACAGTGGTCCTGAGGTGACGTACATCCTCAGCTTATGAAGGTAACTGGATTAAGAGATTAAAGTAAAGACAGGCATAAGAAATTATAAAAGTATTATTTGGGAACTGATAAATGTCCATGAAATCTTCACAATTTATGTTCCTCTGCCATGGCTCCAGCCAGTCCCTCCATTCGGGGTCCCTGACTTCCCTCAACATGTCACAAGCAAGCTAATATGGGAGAAAATATTTCTAATGTATATATCTGTTAAAAGAACAATATTAAGGATGTATAAATAATTTTATACCTAAATGTGAAAATGACAAATCAATAGGAAAAAATGGACAACATTCTTGCACAGATATTTAATTTTAAAAAATATCCAAATGTCCAGTAAACTTAGGAAAATATGTTTAACATTATATGCCATCATGGAAATGCAAACTAAAACTCCCAGAAAGACTAAAATGAATAAATAAGTTTGACAATTCCAAATGTTAGTAAGCATCTTCATACTTTTCTGGTGAGAGTATAAATTGAGACAGCCACTTTAGGAAACTCTTTGGCAGTATATACTAAAACTGAATTAGCTCATAATTTAGGGCACAGTAATTCCATTCCCTGGTGTATATCTAAAAGAATTCCATACTTACATTCACCAAAATATTATACAAGTATGTTCATAGGAGCATTATTTGTAATAGACTGCAAATGGAAACAACCATAAATAATGGAAAGGATTATAATGAAATGGAATTCAGTAATGAAAGTAAATAAACTGCAATTACATGCGGCAACATGGGTGGATTTCAAAAACAATATGTTGAGCAAAAGAAGTCAGGATACAAACATAGTACATAATACATAATTCCATTCACATAAAATTGAAGACCAGGAAACATTATTTAAATGTGCTGAAGTGAGAGTAATAGTTGCCTTTGTGTGTCTTGGTAACAGGGATGGGGAGTGAGGGTGACTTCTGGGATGAAGATGATGCTCTACTTTTTTTCAAAATTCATAATCAATTTTAAATTTATATGCCAACAATAAGCGTCTAAAAATAAAAAATTTAAAAGATATTACAATAGCATCAAAATATTAATATTGCTTAATTCAGGCAATATTAATATTTCTTGTTACATGAGTGTGATCCTTTTTGGAAATCCATTGTACTGCACATCCAAGATATGTACCCTTTTATTTATGCATGCTATACTTCAATAAAAAGGAAAAAAGATGAAAATAACACACATACCCGAAAAATCCCATTTATTTAAAAAATTACTTTCAGTTTCACAAATGTTTTATTCATTGCTAGAAATTTATTCATTGCTTGAAATTATCTGTGTAATTTAGGAGAACTCAGAGGAAAAAACCTCAGACTATTTTATATTTGAATATTTAGCATAATTAAGTCAAGACACTGGGAAAAGTGAAGAAAATCAAAGGAAGAATGAATAGAAGTAGATACTGCATATAATGAGGAAACATTTCAGCCCCCAAGGTCTTAAAAAAATTGTTTAGAAATAAATTATCACAATAGAGAGTGATAATAACATAAGTTTCTATCTTGGAAAAAAATAAATGGGGATTAACAAATAAGTGTCAATTTTTATTTTTGTGTTCATGAATATATATAAATGTGTGATGTTAAACATGCCGCACACACAAACTTATGCCCCTCATACTTCCTAAAATGAATGTAGAGTCCTGAAATGTTGGTGTGTGAGTATTGAGTCATTTCTGCAGTGGTTAAAATTTTCTAAACAACATAGTTCAACTCCAACTTTGATGCCCTCATTAGTAATTTGAACATTTTAAGGCTATTTGGAAACAAGCCCTGGCTGAAAGCAATGGCTGATATTATTGACCTGCAAGTTCAAAGAAAGAAAAAACCCAATAATCATTCAGGGACTTACATTCTCTAGGACATACACCAATCACAACAAATGGCCTAGATCTCTTCAGAGAAGAAATAGAGAACTATTTTTTTATACATTTGCAGTAGCTTTTCAGGATCCTTTTTCATAATTAGACTCAGCTTCTCTTTGAATCAATAGGCTCTAGAGCTCAGGGCTATGGCGAGTTATTTTTCATTCAGTGGCTGACAAGAGTTCTCAATTTTTTCTTTCTCTTTTTCTTTTTCTTTCTTTTTTCCTTCCTTCCTTCCCTCTTTCTCCTTCCTTCCCCTCTCTCTCTCCCTCCCTTCCTCCCTTCTCTCTCTCCCTTTCTTTTTCTTTCTTTCTCTTTCTTTCTTCTCTTTCTTCTCTCTCTTTCTTTTCTTTCTTTCTTCTCTGTCTCTCCATCCCACCCTCTCTCTCCTCTCTTTCTTTTTATTATACAAATCAATGCCATGGTTGAGTTAACAATACATTCTGTTCATAGGAACTTTATTATCTATTAGCCATCATCCTAGATTCCTGCAGGTAAAGACAACCCTATTTTCCCTCTAGCCTCCATGTCAATTCAGTGTTGTCAATTGTAGTCTGCCATTCTGAGATTTTCTTCATCTCTATAATATTAGAAACACCAATTTCACTGTGGCATCTCTCACTATGAACCCCAGCCTTCAGAAACTAGGCAACTGCAAGCTTTTCCAACATGCTGATGCACAACTGCATTTCTTAAAATCTTACTAAAGGTACTATCTGTTAGGTCTACACTAAAAGTGTGGTTCTCATATCAGTAGCACAATCTCAAGTCCTACTCCAGATATATTGAATAAGAATTTGCATTTTAACAAAATCTCCAGGTACTTTGGGTGCACATTTAGGACTAAGCTCTGATTTTTTTTTTTTTTTCTTGTCTTGCCCAAATTCTTATCTAAGTGGTCTGGGGAGTCATGCCCTACAAAACATAAATTCTCATCAGATGGGTTTTTTTTAAGCCTATATATCACGACTTACCTTCCAATCTGACTCTGGCATAACATCATCTCACAAAGAAGAAAGTCAAAATATTTTACCCCAAAGCATGTTTCTTTTCCTTATTTTGAAATGGCCCTGCAAAGTCATCCTTTGTGGGGGAAAATTTGCAGCTGTAAAGAATCTCTATTAAGCTTGCTAGATCTTTTTCTTACAGGCTCTCCCAATCCTGAGGAGAGTAACTAAGAGTCTAGCACTTTTTGAAGGTCTGAATAGGAAATATTTGTCATCTATTGTCTCTAAGGCAAGCCTCTATAAGTCTTCACAAGAACTATTCTGAGCAAACTATCACAAGGACAGAAAACCAAACACTGCATGTTCTCACTCATAAGTGGGAATTGAACAATGAGAACACTTGGACACAGGGCGGGGAACATCACACACCAGGACCTGTCGTGGGGTGGGGGGAGTGGGGTGGGATAGCATTAGGAGATATACCTAATGTAAATGAGGAGTTAATGGGTGCAGCACACCAACACGGCATATGTATACATATATAACAAACCTGCACGTTGTGCACATGTACCCTAGAACTTAAAGTATAATACAAATAAATAAATAAATAAATAAAATAAAATAAAATAAAATTTTAAAAAAAGAACCCTGGTCTCCAAAATCTTTTGTCTTAACCAGAACATTTGCTTTCTATTGATCCCTGGTCTTTAGACAAACTCAAACAATTGTCAACCAGAAAATATTTAAATTTACCTGTATCCTGGAAGCCCCACACCCCCACTCCCCCAACCTTTAACTTGTCCCACCTTTCTGGACCAAACCAATGTATTTCTTAAACATATTTGCTTGATGTCTCATGCTGCACCCTGACCACCTTGGGCACGTGTTCTCAGGACCTCCTGAGGTCTGTGTCATGGGCCAGGGTCATTCATATTTGGCTCAGAATAAATCTCTTAAAATATTTTACAGAGTTTAACTCTTTTTGTTGACAACATTAAAGTTGTAGAGCCATTATTGTAAGCATTCCCTGAGAAACATGTTCAAGTGGTAGTAGTTTTTTTTTTTTTTTTGAGACAGAGTCTCGCTCTGTTGCCCAGGCTGTAGTGAAGTGGCATGATCTCTGCTCACTGCAACCTCCACCTCCTGGGTTCACACCATTCTCCTGCCTCAGCCTCCCGTAGCTGGGACTACAGGCGCCTGCCACCACGCCCAGCTAATTTTTTTGTATTTATAGTAGAGACGGGGTTTCACCATGTTAGCCAGAATGGTCTCCATCTTCTGACCTTGTGATCCGCCCACCACAGCCTCCCAAAGTGCCGCAAGTGATAGGTTCTTAAGTCTTATTTAATAAATCTTTTCTAACAGCCCACCTCTTTGACCTTCTGGTCCCTTCATCTCTCCTCTTCAAAAGAAGTTTGAAGCCTCCACTTCTTTAACTGAAAACCATTTTCTTATTCCAATTTTAAAAGGCTTTCTCAATGTTAAAGGAAAATAAAAACTCAGGACCCCAATTCACTATGCCGAAAGGAAAAAAAATAAGCTGAAATCTGTCATGCAAGAAACTGCCTTTTCTTTTGTTCCTAAGCAGAGAGTACAAATAAAGATTAAATATCTCCACAGGTAGCTACTTTAAGTTCACCTTATCTTATGTAAAATGCTGATTTACTGAGCATAAGTGACAATCCCTCTATTCACTCCTTTTCTCTTGCAACTCGCAGATTACCATACTCTCCCTCTTTTCCCATCAGCCCACTTTCTTTCTTTAAATATTGAAGTTCTCAAAATCATTTTTGGAGAGAAGCCACAGACTTTAGACTGTTTCTGTGACTCTGTGTTCTTTTCTTCTGGGCATGCCCTTAACCTTGGCAAAATAAACTTCTATAAAATTTATTGAGACCTGCCTCAATAAACAAACACCAACAAACATTGGAAGCAGCTCCACCTGTCCTCAATGCAACACTGAATCCTAAATCATAACTGAGTGTCCTCATATCAAAAAGCACTCCTGTATTCATGCCCCAGCCTCAACAGTATAACATCCTCCACACCTTACCTTGGTTTACAGTGGTGATAGGTCCCACAGCTCCTTTAGTAGGAGGCTATTACTTCCTGGAGCAAAGTTCACATTTCTCTGCTTAGGTTGCATTGAAACTAATTCTGTTTTTACTTTTTTCTGGAGACAATAATATTGGAATGAAACTTGTGGAAAACCATTATTTTGGGAGACATCAACTCCAGATGTTGAATTGCCGCATAAAATACAGTGTACCCAGTTAAATTTAAAATTTAGATAAACAACACCCCCATTTTTTATTTTACTATAAATATGCCCCAAAATGCATGGGGGATACTCATATAAAAAAAGTGTATCTTTAATGTCTGAATTTCAATTTATTTGAACATTTTTTAAAAAATCTCAATAACTTTTTTGTTTTAGAATGGTTTTATATTTAGAGAATTTATATTTACAGAAAAATTGCAAAGATAGTATGGAGATTGTCCATATACTCTATACACAGTTTTGCTCGTTATCATCATCAAATGTTAGTATGCTACATTGGTTATAATTAATAAACCAATATGGATACATTGTTAACTGAAGTCCATACTTCATTGAGATTTTATTCACTTGTCCAGTTTTTATTTATTTATTTATTTATTTTATTATTATTATTATTTTTTGAGATGGAGTCTCGCTCTGTCGCCCAGGCTGGAGTGCAGTGGCACGATCTCGGCTCACAGCAAGCTCCACCTCTGGGGTTCATGCCATTCTCCTGCCTCAGCCTCCCTATTTATTTATTTTTCGAGATGGAGTTTTGCTCTGATGTCCAGGCTGGAGTGCAGTGGTGCCATCTTGGCTCACTGCAACCTCCGCCTCCTGGGTTCAAGCAATTCTCCTGCCTCAGCCTCCTGAGTAGCTTGAATTACAGGTGTGCACCACCACGCCGGGCTAATTTTTGTATTTTTAGTAGAGACGGGGTTTCACCATATGGATCAAGCTGGTCTCCAACCCCTGACCTCATGATTTGCCCTCCTCAGCCTTCCAAAGTGCTGGGATTACAGGCATGAGCCACCGCACCTGGCCACTCATTCAGTTTTTGACTAATATCTTCTTTCTCTTCCAGCCTACCATCTAGGATACTACATTATATTTGCTTCTCAGGTCTCCTTAGGCCCCTTTTGGCTGTGAGAGTTTTTCAGACTTTACTGGTTTTAGGTTACCCTCAGAGTTTTAAGAAATACTGGTTAGATATTTTGTAGGTTATTTCTTAACTGGTATTTGTCTGATGCTTTTATCATGATTACACTAAGGTGATGTGTTTTGGGGAGGAAATCCACAAATTTAAAGTGCCATTTTCATGACATCTATCAAAGGCATATATAGTATTAATATGACTCAACTTTGAAACTTATTTTTTTGAGATTTTGTATTTGGGGGTTACTGTGTCTTGAAAATACAAAAATTGGACACTTAGATCTCATGCCATTATACCAGGAAACATTTTCTTCATCTCCATTTGTCCCAAGACCTTACATTTAGTAAATGCACATGGTATGTTTAGGGAATGGATCATCGATGCTCTATTTCTTAATCAGACTATAAAAATATCATATCTGAGAATATATTGTTTATACAGCTAATATTCATTAATATTTAATCTGATGGAAACACCCAAAGGATAAATTTTTCTATTAACTTTCTATCCATAAATTTATTTAAATGTTTGACAAATTATCTTTCTTTCTTTCTTTTTAATAACCAAGAAATAAAGAAGGAAATGATGGCTCTGGGTACCAGCTGGCAGGTTTTCCACATAGTATAAAGCAGTAAATACCTATAAAAACATAGTTATTGAGACATCTGTAGTCAGCTCCGCAAAGAGAGTTAAATCCACGTTGTTCAGGTTGCAGTTATGAGAGTAAGCAGCCTAAGAATGGCTCCAGGGGAATTGGGAAATTTCTGAATCAGGGGATATATCTGAATGCTAATATTGACACTCCCTCTTATTATTTTTCTATATAGATGAGTTCATTGTTTTATATAGATGAGTTTGTTAGACTCTTTATCAGTCTAGCAAATATTTATTTTCCTGATATATCTTTTTGAGTATTTGTCCTAGAGCACAAAGTTCATAACTCTTGCAGCATCTGCTACAATATTTTATCTATTTTGCCAGTCATTTAGAAAATTATGATACTTTTTACCCTGTGGGCCTTTGTTATTACCTGAGCTTGTCACAATTTTTTAGAGGCTTTCAAAATTTTCTTTATTCCTTTGTGATCCCTAACTTTCTGCTTGTTGACATCATTAAACACTCTGCCCAGTATTGAATTTGGTAAGGAAACAAACTGAAAATAATACAAACAATATCTGTTGAAACACTACTATGTGCTAGGCATAACGGTGAGCTCTGAGATAACAAAAATAAATAGCACACAATCTCAGGATCCAGGGTACTCACATCAAATCATAGGGTTGGAACTGCATATAGTGGTATATACAAAGCACTATGCAAAAATATAAGACAAATGAATTATTGTGGGCAGGAATGGAGAAGTACCAAAGATGTGTTCACATAGAAAAATAAAAGAATAAGGCCGGGCGCGGTGGCACAAGCCTGTAATCCCAGCACTTTGGGAGGCTGAGGCGGGTGGATCATTAGGTCAGGAGTTCAAGACCAGCCTGACCAATATGGTGAAACCCCGTCTCTACAAAAAATACAAAAATTAGCCGGGCGCGGTGGCAGGTGCCTGTAATCTCAGCTCCTCGGGAGGCTGAGGCAGGAGAATTGCTTGAACCTGGGCAGCAGAGGTTGCAGTGAGCCGAGATTGTGCCACTGCACTCAAGCCTGGGTGACAGAGTGAGCCTCTGTCTTAAAAAAAAAAAAAGAAAAAGAAAAATAGAAGAATAAGTAAAATGTTATGTAGTGGGGAAGAAAGCAAGGATAGTCTGGAAAGAGAGATTAAACAATAAGTTTTACAAAAATATGAAAGAAGAGCATGATGTACCTCAGGAATTATAAGTAGTTTAATGAGATTGAAACACAATGTATACAGAGAGAGAGGTAAAGATAAAGCTAGAAAGATAACATCTGGTTGGATCACAAAAAGCCTGGGGCATCATTCTAAATGTTGTGAACTTTATTTTAAGCATGAGTGTGCTAAGATTAAATCTCAGCTTTTTGAAAGCTTCATGGGTAGCTATATGGAGAAGAAAGAAATAAAAGTTAAATGACCTGCCCTGAGATAGATGAAAATCTATTTAGAAGGCAAGACTTATGAAAACAGGGTAAGGCATAATTCAAAATGGAGTATGGTCAAGTGGAAAATCCGAGTCTAGAAAATATACGATTCACAACTACTGAAGTCGCTTTAATCCATTTTCCTTACTCCAGCTAGGGCTCTCTTGTAAGGAATAAATCCAACCACTTCAATCTCTGCATTCCGTGGCCCCTGAAATCTTTCAATAATTTTCTAATGCTTATAGAAAGACAAAATCAAACTTTTTCTGCAAGTCTTAGAAAGCTTTACCCTGTAGTTATAAGCAAACTTCCTCTCTCTTTCAGCATTTTAGTCACACTGGCTTTTAAAGGCCCCCATGTAGCAATATTTACCTTTACTATAAGGCCTTTGCATAGGCTGTTCCATATGTCAAAATACCCTTCCTGTCCTAGCCCTTCTTTCTTCTTGATAATTCCAAGTATTTAACCTGAAACGATACTTTTGGGAAAACTTTCATCAGCCTCCCTAATTTTTGCAAATCTTCATCCTTCAGTTTCATAATATACTATATAGTTCTTCTTCACAGTGTCAGTTGCAATTTGACATTATTGGTAGTGATTTGCTGTTTGCCTCTCACTAGACTGTAGGCTTCATGATAGCAGGATCCATATTTGTTGATGATCACTGTTCACTGTTGTATAATGAGCACCTAACACAATCCCTCATGTACAGTCAATATAAAGCAAACATTCTAAAATAAATGTTCTTAACATACCTTATCTCTGTATTTTTTCTTTGGTAGTAAACACTGCACACTTCAACTCCCTTTTTATCCTGAAATTTAGCCCCCAGGGATGGCTTAAACTCTCCTATGCCTATGAAATATTGTGTTTGTTGCCCAAGTTTAGAGACATGAGGAAGAGTTTCCTAAAAAATTATATCTTGTAAATCAGTTAATTATTTTTGTTTGGATTGTGGTGATTCTGTAATTGTAGATTAATTGGTTCCATCTGCTCTGTGATTTTCCAATTAATAGGTAATAACTTTCAAAAGTCAGTTCATTTCTGACATGTGTAGGAATGTATTTAAGATGGTAATTTTTCCCCCTATTGGTCTCTGTTGCTACTTTTTAAAAAAAAAAAAAAATCCTTTTCAAGTCTTGAGGCAAATAGCACTTTTTTTTTTTCCTGTTAGTTGAGGCCTTTCCAGGACAAGTCTTTCTGAACAAGGTCATAAACTTTTTTCTTTGCCATTGGTGTTCTAGGTTCATTTATTATTTGCTGCTGTTCCCAGTACTGATTAACGACAGTAATTTTTAAGGCTAGAGGTGTTTTATTATTTTTTTAATTTAAAAATTGACTGACTGTTTGATTAAGTTTTCTCCAGCTGAGTTTTCATATTAATAGAGATTCCTGGCTGCAGAATGCCTGCTGTAAGTGGATGGGGAGTGGGAAATAAAGGGAGGAGAGATTTCAAAATTATTTAAGCATAAATATTCAAGTCTATCTCTTCCTACAAGAAAGCTGACCTTAAATGTTCTATTACCTAATTGTAGATCTTTATGAAACCCTTGAAGTTTTAGAATACTCTATTACCTTTTTCTCTTGAGATACTGTGATAAAATAAAGAATAGATATCTATATTTTTTTTCCTGGCATACTACTTCTAAAGTATTTGGAATCTCCAGTGATGAGTCTTTTAGTGTGCTAATGAGATGACTGGTGGCTGGGAGCTCCTGGCGAACCTCAGAATGGGGGCTGGCTGCCAGGGGAACCAATCAGGTGATTAGAGGATTACAACTCTTGTCCCACCACTGACCTCCTGAGACTGAGAGGACCTGAAGGTTGAGTTGATCACCAATGACCAATGATATTTAATCATACCTAGTAATGAAGCCTCCAGACAAACACAAAAGATGGGTTTCAGAGAGCATCCAGCTTGGCAAACACATAGTACTGAGAGAGTGGCATGTCTGGGGAGGGTACGGAATCTCTGCACCCTTCCCCCATACTTTGCCCTATACATCTCTACTGTATGGCTGTTTCTGAGTTGTACCCTTCGTAATAAACCAGGAATCTAGTAAGTAAACTGTAATTCTGAGTTCTGTGAGCCATTCTAACAAATGACTCATACTGAGGAGGATGTAAAACTCTGATTTATACCTGGTTTGTCAGAAGCACAGGTGGTGACCTGGACTTATGACTCATGTCTGAAGTGGGAGTGGAGGACAGTATTGTAAAGTCCTTAACCTGTGAGATCTGCACTAACTCCAGGTGGATAGTGTCAGAATTGAATTGAATTATAGGACAGCCAGCTTGTGTCCCCAGAGAATTGGAGAATTGCTTGCTGTGGGAAAAAACCCCTTACATCTGGTGTCAGAAACAAAGTATTCTGGAAGCATCAGATGTAAGCATGGTAGAGAGAAAAGGGTTGGTTTTTCATTATACCTCTTTATCATCATAAATATCATCATCAAGGTTAAATAATTTTTAAAACGTTCCAAGTATTAATTTATATAAATTTGCTAAACAGTGGCAAAATGTGGGCTATACGGAAACTAGTCAAGTAGATAAAAACTTTCACTTGGACCAGTGTTTTCTTTGGAAAATGAAAATAATATACTATAAAGAATGAGAACACATACTATCAAATGATACTAATTTATTCATTTGCTTATTCATCCAACAACTACTTTTAACATTTACTATGTACCAGAAACCATTCTAGGTGATTGGGGTACCTCAGCGAATAAATCCGTCATAGATATCTGAGCCCTTATTAAGCTTACATTTTAGTGCAGGTAAGATTTTTACAAAGTACATAAAGTAAATGAGTAAATTAAAGACATTCACTTCAGGACATAATGGAGTTAACAAGGACTGGATTTATCTTCCTGCTAAAAACAATTAGAAAATCAGATCAAATATATAAAACAAGGGTTTTCAGACAATGGAAAGCAGGCAGCACAAAACTTGATACCTGAGAGAACATTAACAAACAAGGTTAGCCCTGTGATTGCACAAACTTACTGTATAGAAGCAGTTTCCAGGCCACAAGGCAGAGGGGAAGAATGCAAATAAAGCCCACATGTTTTGTTGCATTGAGAAATCAGAGTAGAGAGTATACAGAGGACAACATTGCTAGAATTTATGGATCAGAGCAGTGGAGGAAAGAGTAAAAATGTGACATACAAGATGGCATCACTCTGGTTGAGAGCTCTAAAATGGAATTGGAAAGCCATTCTAAAAAGGACTACCTGCAAAGCCTGCAACGTTGCAAAAAAACCAAACAAAACAAACAAAAAAACACAGGAAATTGCCTTGAACTTTTGAACTGGGCCAAGCCACTACAACCACAACAACCCAGAAAACAGCTGAATTTCACCAGCACTGCAACTCCTGAACAGAAATAACCCATGAAATATGCACACATATACAAAGCCAGCTGCCTTCAACAATGATAATTCTTTCAAAGCAACTTGTGTAATCACTTTTAGCTTCCTTTTCAAAACCCCCTACTGCTCTCCATCTCTTTGGAACACAATTTAGCATGTAGTCAAATCTGTGTCTTACAAATTGCAATACTTAAGACCCCAATAAACACCTTGACTTACTGCTTTACGGTTTGGTCTTTTGCCTTTTCTTGGTTGACACTACATGGTGTTCAAATAGAGCAGGATAAAAAGTCATTCCCCTTCTCTGTGTTCCAGTGCAGCTGCAAATTTGAGCACAGAACCTGCAAGAACCTCTTGTGTTCCATTGCCTCCCAGATGCCCTAGACTTGTTGGTGAGTCCTCTTATTTCCCCCACCTCCCACCTTTGTTGAGATCAGGCCTTTATTGAGGGTCCTTTGTTGCCAGTTATCAACAAAGTGATTTTTCCCCTTTGGGGGAGTACTCATGGGGACTTTACTTCAAAGGGTATAGGTGGTGAGTCAGCCTCTTCTGGAACCTCTGCTGGTTTCATGCACAAAAATTATAGTACTTCATCTTGTAAATTTCTTTCTCAATGGACCAACATCACTAGAAGTGATCTGTAATTACAGTGACGAACTGGGATCTTTTGATTTCCCAAAACTTGCTCTCCTTCCTGGACAATTTGAGCAGCTAAATGGAAAGATTAAACAGCCTGAAAGGAACTTCTACTTTAATTTGTTATCTTGAGGTAGATAAAAGACTCTAAGAATCTGAACTAGAAACTATAAGAGATATCGATGCCAAATTAAAAATTGGGAGAAAAAATCAGAAGCTTCTAAAAATGAAAGAAATCTTGAGTCAAGTATGCCTTTATCTATTTTTCCTTATCCTGTTGTGTCCGGAATTGGTGGGTTCTTGGTCTCACTGACTTCAAGAATGAAGCCACGGACCCTTGCCGTGAGTGTTACAGCTCTTAAGGTGGCGCATCTGGAGTTTGTTCCTTCTGATGTTCAGATGTGTTTGGAGTTTCTTCCTTCTGGCGGGTTCGTGGTTTCGCTGGCTCAGGAGTGAAGCAGCAGACCTTCGAGGTGAGTGTTACAGCTCTTAAGGCAGCGCGTCTAGAGTTGTTCGCTCCTCCCTGTGGGCTCGTGGTCTTGCTGGCTTCAGGAGTGAAGCTGCAGATCTTCGCAGTGAGTGTTACAGCTCATAAAAGCAGTGTGGACCCAAAGAGTGAGCAGTAGCAAGATTTATTGCAAAGAGCGAAAGAACAAAGCTTCCACAGTACAGAAGGGGACCCGAGCAGGTTGCCACTGCTGGTTCCCGCAGCCTGCTTTTATTCTCTTATTTGGCCCCACCCACATCCTGCTGATTGGTAGAGCCCAGTGGTCTGTTTTGACAGGGTGCTGATTGGTGCGTTTACAATCCCTGAGCTAGATATAAACGTTCTCCATGTCCCCATCAGATTAGTTAGATACAGAGTATGGACACATAATGTTCTCGAAGGCCACACCAGAGCAGCTAGATACAGAGTGTCGATTGGTGCATTCACAAACCTTGAGCTAAACACAGGGTGCTGATTGGTGTGTTTACAAACCTTGAGCTAGATACAGAGTGCTGATTGGTGTATTTACAATCCCTGAGCTAGACATAAAGGTTCTCCAAGGCCCCACCAGAGCAGCTAGATACAGAGTGTCGATTGGTGCACTCACAAACCCTGAGCTAGACACAGGGTGCTGATTGGTGTGTTTACAATCCCTGAGCTAGACATAAAGACTCTCCACGTCCCCACCAGACTCAGGAGCCCAGCTGGGTTCACCCAGTGGATCCCACACTGGGCCGCAAGTGGAGCTGCCTGCCAGTCCTGCGCCATGCGCTCACACTCCTCAGCCCTTGGGCGGTCGATGGGACTGGGCGCCCTGGAGCAGGGGGCGGTGCTCGTTCGGGATGCTTGGGCCGCACAGGAGCCCATGGAGGGGGTGGGAGGCTCGGGCATGGCGGGCTGGCAGGTCCCGAGCCCTACCCCACGGAAAGGCAGCTCAGGCCCGGTGAGAAATCGAGTGCAGCACCAGTGGGCCGGCACTGCTGGGGGACGCAGTACACCCTCTGCAGCCACTGGCCTGGGTGCTAAGCCCCTCAGTGCCCAGGGCCGGCAGGGCCGGCCAGCTGCTCCGAGTGTGGGGCCTGCCAAGCCCACGCCCACCTGGAGCCCCAGCTGGCCCGCAAGCAGGGCGCACAGCCCGGGTTCCTGCTTGCGCCTCTCCCTCCACACCTCCCTGCAAGCTGAGGGAGCCGGCTCTGGCCTTGGCCAGCCCAGAAAGGGGCTCCCACAGTGCAGCGGTGGGCTGAAGGGCTCCTCAAGTGCCGCCAAAGTGGGAGCCCAGGCAGAGGAGTCACCGAGAGCAAGTGAGGGCTCTGAGGACTGCCAGCACGCTGTCACCTCTCACTGTGTCACCTGCCCCTCCTAGCTATACCCATCCCATACCACTGACACTCTTTGCACCCTCTTGCTAATATGGTAAAAACTTATTGTAAACCTGGAAAATTATTTCCCAGACTCAATGAAGAGGCTTATTGAATTGAGTTACTATTAGAATATGTACGCCATTGGGAATTCCAGTTATCGGTGGCCAAAAGACAGATGTTTTAAATTTGAATGACTCCTATATTTTCTTGATCTCTCATTTTAAACAATTGCCTTATGTGTATTTATGGGAGCATCAAATAATTTTTAAAAAGACACATAATAGCGTCGTGACTAGATTTAGAAATTATCTCAATAAAATAAAAGAGCAGACTGACCTAAAAGCAAGTTAAAATTCCTTCTATGCTCAAACTACCTCCCTTGATTCCCTGTGGAATTTGCAAAATAAGACACACCACCCTGTGGTCTAGTAGCTGGGATTTGCACTTTCACTGCCATGGCTCAGGTTTGATTCCTGGTCAGGGAAGTAGTCTCGGCAGATATAAGTCCTTTAACTCTGGAAAAGAAAAATTGAGTAAAGCATTGTTCAGATATTTGTGTGACTCTTGACTTTTTGGGATATCTATTTGTTATTGATTATTTCCCTTCCTTTTTATTTTCTGTCTTATCAACTGTCTCTTTTAGTCTTTCATCTGCAGGGCATATGGATGGGCATGGTCAGCGTTTGTGTGGAGAAGGTCAGCTGAGAAGCTAAGATTCTAGAGAACATGTCCAGACAAGACAAAAATGTGCATTGTATCCCAGTTGTAGCTAGCAAAACTTTCGTTTCTTTGAAGTGTCTTTGAGTGCTTCCGGATCTTGAGAGGATCCTTTGCACCTCTTTGAAGATGCTTGTGCATTCTTGGTTAAGGTATAACCTTAGTTAAGGCATAACCTTAGTTAAGGCTTTTGTTTTGATGAGTCACTTGGAAGATACATTTGGTAAAAAGTTCAAAAGTCAGGAATATTGGATGTTTCTCCTGGCTAAAATCTGATAATAAGAGATTTGGAAAAACATTTATAAGAAGTCAGCTATGGTTAGAAGTCAGCTTAATGAAAAGATGATATTCAGGATATATATATATCTTTCTGTTTTTTTTTCTTCTGTGTCCTGTTTCTGAATTTTTTTTAAATCAACTACAACCACTTTTTAATTATATATTTGATCCTTTTGTTTGCTTTTTCTTTTTCTGTTGGCATAATTTTTGCTGACAAAAGTGTAAAATTCATTGGCCTTTCTGGGAAGCTTAAAATCTCTAAATTAGCTCCTCTAAGACTTGTTCTTTCATTTCCTTCCACTCCTCTTTTCTCTTTTCCACTTTCAATTCAACATAAAGAGACTTAAAAGAGATGTCTAGTGACTCTGAGACTTCTTGAGGAACATGAAGAAAGGTACCACAAATCTCCTTTTTAGGGTTTTGTTTTCCTCCTGGAGCTCCCAAAACCATGGGAAGGTTTTTCTTAGGTCTAAACCTCTGCTTTCATTTGCATTGAATGGCCTAATATTTTTGGCTTTGGGAGGTACCTGGTATTGATACAGAATGGGGGCAAGGAAGTACTGGGAGGAGAAGGGCAGATCTTTGTCTAGGGCTCCACCCCAAGGGTTATGCCCATGGGCCTAGGTGAGGACAGGCACTCCTGTCTTTGCACCCAAATGTTGCGTTTCCCAAGACCACCCTGGCCTGTCGTGCACCCATCTTGTGCCTATACAAATTCTGAGATCCTAATGGGCAGATGCACAAGTGGCTGGACATTGAGAGGAACACATCAGTGGATGAAGACACAAGCAGCTGGACGGTGAGAAGACATCAAGCGGAGCACACAGGCAAAAAAGCACATGACAGATGCTGACATGCTAGCAGGCCATCCACCAGGGGAAGGAGGTGGGGTTTGTCCAGGGCAGTCAGAGGAGCCTGAGCAGCCTGACTCCAGGGTAAAACCATCTCCCTTCTGGCTCCCCCATCTGCTGAGAGCTACTTCCACTCAATAAAGCCTTGCACTTATTCTCCAAACCCATGTGTGATCTGATTCTTCTAGTACACCAAGGCAAAAACCTTGGGGTACAGAAAGCCCTCTGTCCTTGATATAAGGCAGGGGTCCAATTGACTAACACAAGCTGCCTATGGACAGCTAAACTAAAAGAGCACTCTGTAACACATGCCCACTGAGGCTTCAGCTGTAAACGTTCACCCTAGACACTACTGTGGGGTTGGAGCCCCACAGCCTGCCCATCTGTATGCTCCCCTAGAGGTTTGAACAGTGGGGTGCTGAAGAAGTGAGCCACATCTCCATTGCATGCCCTGCAAGGGTGAAAAGGGAACTTTTCCTGTTTCAACTGGGGGCTTGTCCAGGATTGTGGAAAGTGAATGTGAGTGAATGTAAAACTGTCAGGTCTGCCTCTTTTCCAAAACTCTGCCGCTTTTCTCTCTTTCCTCCGAGAAAGAGGCTCTGTTTCCCTTCACAGAGTTTTTAAAAACCCTGCCCTAACCAGGCCAGTCAAAACTCTCTGATTTTGCCTCTTTTCCTCCCTCACACAGTTTAAAATGGCTCTTATCTCTTTCTTTATGTTAAGAGTTTTGCTACAGGCTGTGGCAATAAAATAAGCATTTGGCTCAGCTGCCAAAGGTGTAAGTCAGACAAATTTTTCCTAGAGGTTCCATGTATGCCTTCACCTGGACAGCCACAGGCACACATAGTTTAGAGTACCTCCTCTTACCCTTTACTCTCCCAGCTCTGGCACCTGGGCATGCCCACAGCAGGCAAAGGCCAAGTCCAATGGCCATGAGTGGCCAATGGATGGGCACTTCTTGCCTGCCACTCCAACAGAAGATTTCTCCCCTGGCAGAGGAATTCAACCCAGTTTGAACTGGGGGGAAGGGTTAGAGGAACCCACAAGCATTAAGTGAGGGTTTCTTCCCCCAAGATCTTTCCATTTTGCCCCTTAAACGGTTTTTCTCTTTTTTTAATTCTTTTCTAAGTGAGAGGGCTCCCCACTTCCAGCTCTGTTTCTGATCAGTAAGTTAGCAGAGGAAGAGGAACAACCCCTGCTGGCTGAGAAATGTAAATTTAGCAGGGCACATTTGAGACACTCTAAACAGATAAAAACAGCCTCTAAAATATATTTTCAGTCCCAAACTTGATTCCAAGCTTCAGACTGAAGTTGTAGAAAGAAAAAAACAGGTTGGAGGTATCCAAAGTCAGGCAACAGGCACAATGTAAGTGGGCAAGGCCAATTCTTGCTGACTCAACCCCACCCCACAGAAGGAGCCCATAGTTCATGGCATAAACAGGCCCAGGGAACTCAAGATTTGCTGACAGCAGGGAGAAATGAAGGCATAGGTGAGGGTGGTTAATTTCTATTCTCCAGGTTTTCCCTGCTTCATGGGTACATACCTCATTAGTACCTATGTCTGGCACCTGCCAAGGTCACTGGGGCTCAGGGATAAGGGGTGGAAAGTGAAGACAGGATGCTTGCTTTCTCTCTCCATCACACGCTGAATGTTAGCTGAAAGAAGGAAGGGAATGAGGGACACCTCAATTCCCTGTCTTTCAGAATGGGAAACCAGTTCTCTTCATCACCCCCAGCTTAAACTTAAATAGGGTAGATCCTGAACCATTGGAACTGCTTTGACTCTCAGAATCTGGAGGATTCTGAACAAGGGCTTGGCCAAATTTTGTTTTACAGGGAGGACTGGCTTGATCTCAGGAAGGAACCATTCATTTGATACCATCCAGCAGTTGGAACTTTTATGTAGATGTGAGGACACATGGTCTGAGGCCTCACATGTGCAGACTTTCTATACCTTGTAAGGCAATCGCGACCTTTGCCGACAATGTGGGATTGATCCAGCCCTCCTGTTTGCCATCTCAGGGAAGGCTGTAAGGGGCAAGCCCAGGGGATTAAAGATTCATGTCCGAGAGGCACCCCCAGCAGAGGAGCCAGCTCCCTCAAGCCCTGTTCCTCCAGGTCCCCCTTGAGCTTCCTATCCAGCTTCAGACTGTCACTTTCCCCATCCTAGAAATACTCGCCTTAAGACCCAGTCTCATTATTTCCCCTCCAGGGAGTGACCTTACTGGACCAGTAAGGTCCAGGTCCCCTTCTCCCTACAGGACTTAAAGCAAATTAAGGGGGATCATGGCAAATTCTCAGATGACCCTGATAGAGATATCAATGCTTTCTAGAATTTCACTAAAATATTTGAACTCTCCTTGAGAGACGTTATGTTACTTTTGAATCAGACCCTGCTGGTCACTGAGAAACATGCTGCTTTGAAAGCAGCAGAGAGATTTGGGGATGAGCTTTGTGTCACATAGAGTGTCAGGGGAGGGGATGAATATTATCGAACTGGAAAAGAAGCAGTACCAGTGCATGACCCTAAATGGGATCCCAGTGACAAGATGGAAGACTGGAAGAGGAGACACTTCCAGGCATGCATAATGGAGGGCTTACATGGGACTAAGACAAAGCCTCTCGGTTATAATAAGTTGTCTATGATCGACCAGGGATTTGATGAAAACCCCACTGCCTTCCTGGAGAGGCTAAGAGAGGCCTGGGTAAAGCACACCTCTCTATCTCCTGATTCAGTCAAGGGACAACTAATCCTAAAGGATAAATTTATTAATCAGGCAGCTCCTGACATCAGGAGGGAGTTGCAGAAATGTGTTCTGAACCAGACAATACACTAGAGGACCTCCTGAAACTGGCCACCTCTGTCTTTTATAATAGAGACAGGGAGGCCCAGGAAAAAGAGAGGAAATACAGGAAAAAACCAGAAACTTTAATGGCCACCAGGCAAGCCCACAAACCCCAGGATTCCCAGGGTGCACCTGTTAACTGCTAAAGATATGGCAAGAACAGTTATCTCTCTTCTAAAGTTTAACTGCTCCCATACAAGGTTTAATTTCTTTCAGCAGGGTGGAACAGCTCAGAATACAATGTTGTTGTTAGTATATTTTACTTCTTGTCACTGTAATCTATGGCACTAATTTTTTCCTTATATAATACACATGTTTAACCCATGCATACTTAACTTTATAACATTTATTTATTTTTTCTCATGCCTAGAAGCCATGAAACTCTAAATGGTCGGGCAACTAGAGCCTCGGGCAATGGCTCCCCTTTGCTGGGAACCCTTAGATACACCCCTGGGACGAATCTGACTGCTGTTATCCCCCAAAACAATGCCCCCTGTCAGAAGGAAGCAGGTAAAACTGGTCATCTTCCATATTCTAACAGCAGTTAGACATACCTCTTCAGAGCAGGGAAATGTTATGGGAGAAGGAGACCTGGACCTTATTGGGCCCAAATTCATTGGGCATTTGTTGAAGGGGTAAGAATGAGACTGCAGCATGTTTAAGGTGAGTATTTCTAGGAGTGGGCAAGTGAGAGGCTGAAGCTGGATAGGAAGATGGGGGTGATCCTGGAGGAGCAGGACTTAAGGGAGCTTGCTCCAAGCCCAATACCTCCCCCCTGGCCCAGGTGTGCCTCCTGGCCATGCTGGAAAGGATTAGATCCTCTGATGATTGTCTTAATAGCTGTGTCCTCTCTCCAGGACTCTTCACTCGATACATAACAATTAAAATTGCTTACTTCCTAGGTTTTTCACTGGAAATTAAGGTGATGTTTAAGGCTGTAGTGAATATATGTAATGAAAACTACTAGATATAAGAGAAAAAATTTTGCACACAAAGTTTGAAAGAAAAGTAAGATGTGTTTTTCATTAGGATGGTTATAAAACAAATAAGAATGTTATTTTTGTTAAAGGAAAATTATTTTGTCTAGTTTACAGATTATTGAAAGATTGTTTTAAAGTGAAGGAATAAAAAATGAATGATAGATAAAACTGAATGGATATAGAAAGGAAATAAAAAATTCTAAGAAGTTAGGAAAGGTTATAAAAATTTTATCACATGTGGTAAAAAAGTGACTGAGATTGCATGAATTTGTTTATAAGACTTTGTTAAAATTACATTTAGTATTAATAACACCATGATGCAAAGGTATAATGTGATTTTTTTAAGTAAAAATTTTGTACAGTATTAATATGAAATAGTAAAATACTTGTTCATCTTTGGAGTAAACTTCAAAAATAAATGAGGAGAGTTTTCCTGTTTTGTTTTGTTTTTTGTTTTTTTTTTAAAACAAGGTCTTGCTTTATTGCCCGGGTTAGAGTGCAGTGGTATGATCATGGCTCATTGCAGCCTCAACCCAAACCTTTGGGCTCAAGCAATCCTCCTGCCTCAGCCTTCTCAGTATTTGGGTCTACACCACACCTGGCTATTTTATTTTATTTTTTTTGTAGAGATGGGGTTTTGCCACGTTACCCAGGTTGGTCTCAAACTACTGGGCTCAAGTAATCCTCCTGCCTTGGCCTCCCACATTGTTGAGGTTACCAGCATGAGTCACCACACCTAGTCTTTCATACTACCTTAATTAGGTCATCTGATTTTTGAGAAAACCAAAGTTACTCTCTATCAAAGAGTGAAGTTTTTAGTTTTGTCTGTTTTGCCTTTAAAAATCTTTTATCAATTTGGCTGAATGAATTACTATTATTTTATAGTGACCCTATTTTACTATCAAATTTAAAGTACTGATATTTGATAAACTTTCCCCAAATCAAATTTTTTTTTTTTTTCTGAGACAGGATCCTGTTCTTTCCCCCAGGCTAGAGTACAGTGGCACAACCTTAGCTCACTGCAGCCTTAAACTGCTGGGCTCAAGTGATCCTCCCACCTCAGCCTCCCAAGTAGCTGGGACTACAGGCACACACCACCATAACTGGCCAATTTTTTAAAAAAACAATTTTTTGTAGAGAGCAAGTCTTGGTTCTCACTTTGTGGCCCAGGCTGTTCTTGAATTCCTGGTTTCCAGTGATTCTCCTACCTCGGTATCCCAAAGTGCTGAGATTACATGTGTAAGCCACATCCAGCCTCAAATTTCAAATTCTAAATTAAGTCTTTCTGACCTCAAACTAATGTTGGACATTTCAAAAAGAGCCCATGGAACCCTAAGAGAAGCATATTAGGCTTACCTGAGATGTTAACATCATTCAAGAATCATTGTTAAATAAGAAATGGTTTAATGAAATCCTTCATCACTCAGCTATTAACTCCATTTTTCTCTCCACAGCCACCAACTCAGTCTTTAGTGTGTGAAATTTCTAGGGAAGTTTCAGATAGGGGAATGCTGGGGAATAGAAAATGATTCCCCAAAATATGGCTCTTGGGCATGCAAGTGCTTTTGAAAATTAAAAGGCCTCAGAAATAAGCCTCAGAATCAAGGTCTGTCTAACCTTGTTTTGTTCCTCCCTCTACATGGCAGGGAGAGACTCCCTTTGGAATTTCCTAATCTGACCAAGAAACCTTCTTACTAAAAGAAACACAATTGCCTTCTATCCCCTTCCAGAAATCTCATTATTTCAGAAAAGAAAAGAGTGGAACCATATCCAGGTGAAATTTTTAACAAGATAATATCTGCCTCTGGGGCTCATTAAAATTCCAAAGTAATTTATTTACAAGTTAATTTATGTCTCCCTGGTCCCTTCATTCTCCCTAATTGTCTATATGTCCCATCTCCTCTATCTCTTATAAAAAAAAAAAAACTTATATAAGCTTCTGTGCCCCATTAGGGGTTGGGAGTAATTACTCTATGTTCTGTCCCCATGCACATTAATAAAATTTGTAAGCCTTTTCTCTTATTAATTTGGCTTTTGGCAGTTGATTTTTAGCAACTCTTCAGACAGCAAAGGGAAGTTTTCCTTTTGCTCCTACAGTTTTGGTGCATCAGGATATCAAAGCTGACCTGCTTATCTGGAAGCTACAGTCAAGGGAATCCAGGATCTGACAAGCTGGCAGAGAAATTTTTATTATACCCTCTGAACTTACTGTTGCTGCTAGCCCATCCAGGATATTAAAATAATAATGTCACAATGTTTAGACATGGTTAATTAAATACATGCTTCTCCTGGTGTATAGTTTATCATCATAGAATACTACAGGCCTCCTACTTAGAGTGGCTCCCTTGTCATTCATGTTTGGCCAATCTCTGAAGTCTTGGAAGTACGTTAACTTCCAACAGTCTCTCTCATGGGGCACAACACTAGCATTTCAAAGGGCAATCAATTACAAATCTGTGCCAATCAAATGATAATTGATTAGTGATACTTCCTCATGTCAGACCTTGATCAAAAGGGAAATGTGGAATGTGATATACAACATGGTTTCACTCTGGTTCAGAGCTCTAAAGTGGAGTCAGGAAGCCATTCTAAGGAGGACTACCTGGCCATCCTGCAATAATGCAAAAACCCTATAGACTGTTTTAAACTTTTGAACTGGACCAAACTGCTCCAACCACAACATCCCAGGAAGCAGCTGAGCTTCACCAGCTCTGCAACTCTTGAACAGCAGCAACCAATGAACTATGGATTCGTGTACTAAGCCAGGCACCTAAAACAATGGTAATTCCTTCAAAATAACTTCTGTTATCACCCTCATCTTTTTAAAAAAACTGGCCAATTTTTTAAAAAACAATTTTTTTGTAGAGAGCAAGTCTTGGCTCTCACTTTGTGGCCCAGGCTGTTCTTGAATTCCTGGTTTCCAGTGATTCTCCTACCTCGGTATCCCAAAGTGCTGAGATTACATGTGTAAGCCACATCCAGCCTCAAATTTCAAATTCTAAATTAAGTCTTTCTGACCTCAAACTAATGTTGGACATTTCAAAAAGAGCCCATTGTCTCCAGGACAATGATAGACTTCCCAAAATAAGGAGCCAGTAATTTTTTTATATTACCAACACAATGCTAGTTTTAACTTTCTTCCAAATCTTATAGATTCCCCCTAAATTTCACCACTTCCTGACAGTGATGAATGGGGTGACAATCCTCATAAGAACATGGCCATCCTTGTCAGCTTGGACTTACACCTATAATGAGGGCATATGTTGTTGCACTATCCAAGGGCAAAAAGGCCTTATTGGAACACAATGTCTTCATTATAGAGGGAGCTCACAAAAGTGCCCATAAAATCTGCTTCAAGACCTTGTTAGCTTGCACGAAACACATATACTGCTCACACAGGTAAAAATCTCTTCACCTACTTAAGAAGTTGCAAGAAGTTTAAGCAGTCCAACAATTTATATAAATATTCAAAGACTATCTGCAGAGCAGCAATCTTCCTGACTCTTTGTTCTTAGTCTGCACTCTTGAGACAATGCTGATGCCAATTGTAGGATTGAAACATAACTTCTTTTTCTAGACAGTTAAGAGCATTGAGTTTGAAGCTTCTGGCTGCACAATAGCTTTTGCATTTTCAAAGAACAAATAAGTGGAGAACTATAGCCCTGTGCTGTTACATTTCTAAGCAGGTGTGTTGAGGTATAGGGTTAGAATCCTTGAAACAAAGTTTTGTTAGATTTGGGTGATGCAATTAGAAACTAGTCTGTAATTGATTTGTCCAAAGTAGCATGTGAAAATTTTTTTTTAAAGTACAAAAAATGCCTTTAAAAGTTTTATACAATTCTGTAAATGTTTAAATAACATTTTGATGTCTTCTAAGGGGAATATCATATATATTTTGTGTAAACAGCAGTAACTATGTGCCTATCTAAAAGAAAGATTTTTGAGGATGAAATATTTGTCTGCCAAAACATATGAAAGCATGTAATGAAGATAGTCCTAAGTATTAGAAAATATTATATTTTTATTTTGCATGATTTGTAGCACCTACACTGTGCTTTGGTGGTGCTGAAACTGCATCCAGAGTGAGCATTCTCTTGGATTGCTAGGCAGATGTATTTTTAAAAATAATATTCCTGAATAAAAAATGAGCTCTACTGGGCCAGGCCTGGTGGCTCATGCCTGTAATCCCAGCACTTTGGGAGGCCAAGGCAGGCAGATCACGTGAGGTCAGGAGTTCAAGACTAGCCTGGTCAATATGGTAAAACCCTGTCTGTACTAAAAATACAAAAATTAGCCGGGCGTGGTGGCAGGTGCCTTTAGTCCCAACTACTCAGGAGGCTGGGGCAAGAGAATTGCTTGAACCCAGGAAGCAGAGGTTGCAGTGAGCCGAGATTGCACCACTGCACTCCAGCCTCGGCGACAGAGTGAGACTCTGTCTCAAAAAAACAAGCAAACAGACAAAAAAAAGCTCTACTGGGTTATTATAAAGCTATTTGTTATAAAACTTTGTCTAAAGGTAGAGTAATTAAGATAATGTGATATTGGGCAAATAAAAGATAAGTAGGCCAACCGAATAGAAGAGAGAAACCAGAAACAATAAGCACATGTGGATATTTAAATTTTGACAAAAAGGGGACTGTAGAACCATGGAGGAGATGAATGTCTCATCTCAATAAGTGGTGCATTGACCTTTAGATATCTACATGGAAAAGAAAGAATGAAACTTGATTCCCCCACCTCCCAACAATACCTCAAAATATAAGTTAGTTGGATTGTAGATATATATGTACACATCACCTCTGTCATCTAAGCAAAATGACCAGTTATCCAAATAGGCAGAAAAGTTTGATCTGTAATCATAAAAAAAATTAATAGAAACAGACCTAGATGCAATAAAGATGATGAACTTTCCAGAAAAGTATGTTAAGCTGGCTATTAAAATGTGCTGTATATGTTAAGGAAGAAAGATTACATCATGAAATTGATTTGGAAAGAAATAGAAGGTGTAAGACAGGAGTCACATGAAATTGAAAAATAAATACATAAAATGAAAAAATATATTGATTGAGATTAATGGCCAATTGGACACTGCAGAATTAAAAAATGAATGAATTTGAAGACACAGCAATAGAAACTATTCAAAATGAAGTACAGACAAAAATAAAAGACTAAAAACATTTTTACTAAAATGTAATGCTATAAACTTTTAGAAAATAATACAGACCATATGGTTTGAGAGTAGGAAAAGAGGTCTTGCTGACATCAAAGAATTGTTTGAGTTGAAGTAACAGAAACTAAGTATCAGTGGAAAGAGGGGAGGTGTAGTCAGAGAATGGGATGCATACAATTGAGGTTATGAAGGGGCTACATAATGACAAGCTCTAGTTTATGACCACAGAAGGAAATGGTTGAGATAGGATAGGGGATTAATGGAGAAGTATGAAAGGACATGAGAGGTGCAGAGTTATATGGCTTCCTTATGGTTTCATAGTGAATTAATAATTGACAGAACTAGACTTCAAACCCAATTTTTGCTTACTTTGAAGTCATGCTACTTTCAAAGGAAAAATTCTTACTTCTTATGAAAGTGTAAATATGGCACAATAATTAAACCTGATAATTTCATGGACCCAAAGTAGAAGTTTTAAATCTGGATTAAAGGAATATGTTAGAATCAAAACTTTCAGTGTTATTTTTCTCCAGAGAACTCAGCTAACAAACTGATGTTCTGTGCTCAGGTGTGAGCAGCCACTATGCATGCACCTTGTCACCTATGACTGCCACAGTATCACTTAGCAAATTGTGGATTTATTTAGCTAATAAGAATTGCATTGCATATTCACTACATGTTCTTACGGTGCACTTTTGGAAATTTGCATTTACCTCTCAGGTTGACCATACAAGTAGCCTTTCTAAGGGCCTCTGCAAAAAAAAATGTACATTCCAAGTGGATAAAAATCTGACTCTGGATTTGAAAGGAAAGAGGAGGAATACAAAATGAGGATATTCTAGAAAGAAAGATACATAAGCATTTTTCTTTCAATAGGGTCATAAATCACAATTTAAGTATAAAATTAGATTGTTTAACACAACTCTCAATATTGTTTGTGGACAGCAGTTTATTCATTTTTCAAACAGTTAATGTTGTTTAAAAGTTATTATATTTCACAGATATATTGTTTTTTAACATTAAACTTTGCATGTTGAGGTAATTGTAGATTTATATACCGTTTTAAAATAGAATATAAAAAAGACCCTGTGGGCCGGGCGCGGTGGCTCACGCCTGTAATCCCAGCACTTTGGGAGGCCGAGGCGGGTGGATCATGAGGTCAGGAGATCGAGACCATCCTGGCTAACAAGGTGAAACCCCGTCTCTACTAAAAATACAAAAAATTAGCCGGGCGCGGTGGCGGGCGCCTGTAGTCCCAGCTACTCGGGAGGCTGAGGCAGGGAGAATGGTGTGAACCCGGGAAGCGGAGCTTGCAGTGAGCCGAGATTGCGCCACTGCAGTCCGCAGTCCGGCCTGGGCGACAGAGCGAGACTCCGTCTCAAAAAAAAAAAAAAAAAAAAAAAAAAAAAGATCCTGTGAACACTTTTTCCAATTTCTTCTAAAAGTAACTTCTTGCAAAATTGTATCAAAATATAACAACCAGGATATTGACACTGATAAAACTCACCCATCTTAATCAGAATTCTCCAATTTTACTTACACTAATTTGTGTGTAATGTGTGTACATTTAATTCTGTGCAAGTTTATCACCTGACAGTTTCTTCTATCCACCACCACAGTCAAGATACAGAACAGTCCCATCACTACAAAGATCCCTCATCTTGCCCTTTTATAAACCCACCCACATTTGTTTTCTCCTTCCCTGTCCTTAACCCTGATAGCCACGAATCTGATCTCAATCTCTGTAATTTCGTCTTTTCAAGAATGTTATCAAATGGAGTTTTTTTAGCATGTAAACCGTGTGATTGGCTTTTTTCACTCAGACTAACTTTCTAGAGATTCTTTCAAGTGGATGAGTGTAGTCAATAGTTTATTTTTATTATTGAGTAGTGTTTCATGGTATAGATATACTAGTTTGTTTAACTGTTTAACCCAACTGAAGGGCACCTGGCTTGTTTCCAGTTTGTAGCTGTGATAAATAAAGCTGTTACCAACATTTGTGTACAGGTGTTTGTGTGAACATAAATTCTAATTTCTCTAAGACAAATGTCCAAATGTGCAAATGCCATGTCAGATGGTAATTACATGTTGAGTTTTATAAGAGATTAACAAACTGCTTTCTAGAGAGGTATATTGCTTTTATTTGATCACTTACTAAGAGTCAGATGCATAATTTATTAATTCATGTATACATTCCTTCCACAAATATTTACTGATTGCTTACTATAGTCACACATCACTGTTCAAGAACTGCCGATAGAGTAATGAACAAGACATCTTCCGTAATTTGTTCTAGTGTAGGAAGAAAAAAACAAAACATGTAATGTTAGATGATTAAGAACCTGACAGAATTAAGGTCATTTTAGCTAAGGCAGTCAGGGAAGGCTTCTCAGAGGTGGTGATATATAAGCTGACATATGCCTAATGAGATGAAAGAAACCCTGCACATATCTGGGAATAGATGGTTCCGAGAGGAAGGGTTGGCAAGTGTCAAGGCTCTGGGCCATAAATGAGATTGGCAAGTTTGTGGAAGAGAAAGGAAAGAAGTGTGGCCAGAGACCTCCTACTGAAAGAGAGGGAGGAATAGGGAAAAAGATGGGAGAGGCAGACATGTCTCTCATTATACAGTCTTTGCCGGTCTAAAGAAGATGTTGAGATGTTAATCAGTTTGTCAGTTGAAATGGTTAGGTGCTTTTCCATCAAGGAGGGATAGGATTTAATTGATAAATGTTTATTTCATGACTTGTGGAAAATAGACAATGTGGAGTGTACAATGAGGGTTCAGCAGGAAAATATAAGCCACTTTATGTCACATGAGTCCACTGAGGTGGGGCCCAAACCCACCAGTGAGTCTAGTCACATTTAGCGAGAGGGAGACTACTGAAAGTCAGGATCCAAATCCCAGCCAATGCCTCCATTTTTTGATAGAAGTTTGGAAAGGCAGCATTCCTAGATCTAATTTGGCTTAATGAGACAATTATGGTCTTTAAAGTTAAACATAATTAGTTTAAATCTTGACTTCCATTCACTAGTAGCCTCAGTTAACTTATTTAATCTTTCTGAATTCTGATTTCCTCATTTATAAATAAAAGAATAAGCCTCATGAAATTGTGTACAGTTAGATAAAACAATGGAATAACTATTTGCCACCAGAGTCTTGGCTTATGGCTCACATTTACCACAACAAAAATACACTAGAGGCTCAGAAAGCTTTTCCTGGCATTTCTTAGCAGCAGATCTCCTCCCCAAATAACTAAGATTTTGTATTAGCTACAGATTTAAAAAGTGACAACTAACAAACCAAAACGTTCACATTTATGTAGAGGCCAGCATTTGACCTCAAATTTATATCAACAAACTACTCCACCAAACGAATGAACATTCAAAAAAGTGTGAATATCTTTGTGATTTAAAATGTTTTGTGGTTTCCAGCAAAGGTAGAAACCACTGCTAATTGCACAATGCAATTACTATGATCAATGATAATTCACTATAAATTAAGTTTGATTATTGTTGTTTATCTATAAACAACGTATGCAAAGGGGCTTACTATTTGAAAACATCTCTATGGTCTTGGCAGAATAGGAATTAGGAACAGGTTTCAAGATGAATAGAAACACTCTGCTGTGCTGATTCACATAAGAATAATAGAAAACCTATAGAAAGAAAAACTGCTCCAGCACTTAGGTTGAAGAGACATGATTTAAAGTGTTTTTACTTCCTTAATACACTTTGTATATTTCCATGAACAAAGAAATGCATTAAAATTGGAGACGTTCTTTTTTTTATTTTTATTTTTTTTTAGACAGTCTCACTCTGTCACCCAGGCTGGAGTGCAGCAGCTCTGTTACCAGCTCACTGTAAACCTCCGTGGAGATGTTCTTTTAAGGAAGTCAGAAAAGTTTTGAGTTGTTTCTGTAGTTTTCTCATATTTTTCTCAAGCATCCTTGCCTGCCTAGAATGCCAAAACAAATGGTCACCTCTTTAAACAAGCAAACAATTTTGATTCCCTGATAGAATTAATGTTATATTGGGGTAACCTCTCTGCTTAATTCAAGTTAGCAATGTGACTAAAACTGTGTGATACTACACAAACATGAATTGAGGTAATTATCTATAAAAGCATTCAGAAAGCCAAGTGGTCCCTTTGTACCTTTTGGGAGGATTGAGGATCTCCCAAGACAACTAATGTATTCAGGGAGTAGCTGAAGCTTATGATTTTTAATTCCAGTTTTTTCTAATCAGATTGTTTTTCCCAGTTCATACCTTATCCTTGGTGTCAAATCTCAAAAATTAGAGAAAAGGGAACGAGCAATCATCATCTCTCCAATACTTTGTACCATCAGGAAGCCAACAAATATGGAATTATGACTAAAGTTTTTCTAAAACCACAGAAGCCATTAATATGTATACACGTCATCAGGTTAAAAATCTAGATTGTCAGAATTCCAGGACTTAAAGAGTCCATTAGGAAAAAGGAACTCGGGACTCACTGAAGACTATTCAACTGCCACTGTAAAAATGACTAGTTTGGCTCACACCTATAATCTCAGCACTTTGAGAGACTGGAGCCTGGTGGATCACTTGAACTCAGGAGTTCAAGACCAGCCTGGCAACATAATGAGACCCGTTTCTACTAAAAACACAAAAAAATAGCCTGGCATGGTGGTGCGCACCTGTGGTTCCAGCGACTTAGGAGGCTGAGGTGGGAGAATCACTTGAGCCCAAGCGGTGAAGGTTGGAGTGAGCTGAGATTGCACCGCTGACCTCCGGCATCGGTGACAGAGCAAGACCTTATCTCAAAAAACAAACAAACAAGCAAACAGCAACAACAACAAAAAAAACAAAAACAAAGTGACTATTCCATTTAGGATCTTTTCCAGTCTTCATTTTTTTACATTTTGCATAGAAAGGTTCTGTCGGCTGGGCGCAGCAGCTCAGGTCTGTAATCTCAGCACTTTGAGAGGCCGAGGCGGGTGGATCACGAGGTCAGGAGTTCAAGACCAGCCTGACCAAGATGGAGACACAAATTAGCTGGGCTCTGTGGCGGCCGCCTGTAATCCCAGCTACTCAGGAGGCTGAGGAAGGAGAATTGCTTGAACCACGCAGGAGACGGAGGTTTTAGTGAGCCAAGATGGTGCCACTGCACTCCAGCCTGGGCGACAGAGTGAGATTTCATCTCAAAAATAAAAACAAAACAAAAATAAAAAAAGATTCTGTCAAAATTATAGCCTAAATTTCATCACTTGCTTAACTGGTTCATGGTTCTTTTTAGTTTTTCTTCTAAAATTCTTCTCCTAAAAAATCAATGAATGTTTTTGTGGTAATGACTTTAAGTCAGGTTGCATACAAAGTCATTATTTTCAGCATTTGTCTCCATAAGTTAGAAAAGACCCATTTGAAAATCGCTTGTACTTCTAGTTAGGAAGTGCTAACTACAACCAAATTGCTTAACCAGAAAAAAATCAGTAAATTATTTGTGAAGCTTTTAATATAAATAATATAAATAATATTTCATATAATATAAATAATTATATAATATAACATAAATAATATTTTGTTTATTAACGTTTGCTGCCAAAAGTGTCATCTAGAAAGGGTCATCTATAACCTCTTTTTTACTTTCCTTTTTTTTTTTTTTTTTTTGAGACAGAGTCTTGCTGTGTTGCCCAGGCTGGAGTGTAGTGGCGCAATCTGGGCTCATTGCAACCTCTGCCTCCTGGGTTCAAGTGATTCTCCTGTCTCAGCCTCCCCAGTAGCTGGGATTACAGGTGCACACCACCATGCCTGGCTAATTTTTTTGTATTTTTAGTAGAGATGGGGTTTCATCATGTTAGCCAGGCTGGTCTCGAACTCCTGACCTCAGGTAATCCACCTGCCTTGGCCTCCCAAAGTGCTGGGATTACAGGTGTTAGCCACCACTCCTGGTCTTTCTTTTTTTAGTTAAAAATTTGACAGCCTTTAGAAATATGAAGACATGTCAAAATTAATTTTAGTAACTCATAGAGCTGTAAAAGAGTAGTGATAAGGGAAAATTTTAATACATATCATATCCAGATAAAATTAGGATGGATAAAACAGTAACTAAATTGATTAAATCATAGTAAAGCTTAATAAAATAGAAGAATATTTTTTATATATCGAAAGAATAATTTAAAAAAAAACAAAATAAATTACACAAAAAGATGGGTATATTTCATTAAAATATATACACACAATTAAAATTTAACTATAAAAAGTGATATAAAAGAATTCATATAAGTTCAAGCAGTTCAAGATGTTTACAAATATACTTTTAGGCCAGGTGCAGTGGCTCATGCCTGTAATCCCAGCACGTTAGGAGGCTGAGGTGGGTGCATAACCTGAGGACAGCAGTTCCAGACCAGCCTGGCCAAAATGGTGAAACCCCGTCTCTACTAAAAATACAAAAAAATTAGCCAGGCATGGTGGTTGGTGCCTGTAATCCCAGCTACTCGGGAGGCTGAGGCAGGAGAATCGCTTGAACCTGGGGTCGGAGGTTGCAGTGAGCTGAGATTGCGCCACTGCACACTCCAGCCTGGGTGACAACAGAGAAACTCTGTCTCAAAAAAAAAAAAAAAAAAGAAAGAAAGAAAGAAAGAAAGCAAAAAGAAATATACTTTTAACAATTAACAATGTCTGTGGAAGTAAAACCATATTGCCCCTTTACTTTTTAAACCATATATTTGTATATTTTACTTTTTTATAATATGTCATTTTATCATTATAAAACAAAAGATAATACACAAAATGTAATTTGATATCTAAAAAAGGAAGAATATTTTAAATAGGCCCACATCTTAAAGTTGTGATTATCTTTCTTTAGTGAAATAATATTGCTGCTGAACATTTCTCGATCTCTTAAAAGCCCCAGGTTTGCTTTGGGGTTTGAGTGATGACTAGAAAAGACTCATGTTTTATCTGCCATTTCCTCTTCTTTAATGGCAGTAGAAGATGGCTTAGACGCTTTGGAGAGAATTGTTATATAAATGGTGATTATTTGAAGACAAGCAAAATTCGACATCAACTGTAAAATTATACACTCTTAAAAGCATTAAACTCATGCTTTTATACCAAGTTTACTGAAAACATTTATATGAAATGTTAAAAACTAACACTTTAAAACCAGGGAATTTACTTTTAATCCCCTCTCTGGAGTAGTCTTCATACTTGATATCTTAAGGAGTCTATGAAAAGTACTTTTTATCCGCATTTGAATATTAATGAAGGCAAATGGCATTTTGGAAAAGAAAAAAATATTTCTTATACTAACTATCTCTACCCTAGTATCACTTTTCTCTACAAGTGTGAGTTTATAAGTGTTTTAATTAAGACCATATGCTTTTACAGTTTGTGGTTGTAATTTTAATTAAAAATACATACGTTTAAGACTTCTGTAAAACAATCAGCCATTTATTTGCAAGTAAACCACTGAGTTTAATACAATTTAAGTAACTCTTTAAAGAAGCATCTACTATAAAATGGAATCTCTAGGAGATCCTATGGAATAGAGGTAGTTAAGGTAGAGTCTCTGATTTCATGGATTTAATAACCATCTAGGTATCCAGGCAACTGCTACAGAGATTTCTTCAATTCCATCTTTTGTGATCTAATCTACCATATTGTTAGAAGTACATTCTCCTGTGTCACTTTGGAAGCTTCAGTTTTATCTACGCATCATAGATTTGAGGAACTGAATGGACACTTATTACCATTAATAGCAACAAAATGACAATACTTACAGGAACAGAAACTGCTGAAGAATTTAAGATGTATAAATTATCTCATCCTAGGAATAACATGTCAAAGGTATGGCACATGTCTCCATTTTAGTGAAGAGACAACTAAGGTATAGATACTTTAAGGAAGAAATAGTGGAGCAAGGACTTGAGCCGAGGTCTGATTCCAAAGATCTAATATAGCACCTCATTGAATTTCTTGGCAAGACTGATTATACTACATGGTTGAAAAGGCCAATTTTTTATTTAATCATAATTTGTTCAAATCCCAAAGTGTCCTTTAATATCTGTATGACTGTGAACAAATCATTTGATCTTTCTGAGCCATGTTTCTTCCTCTATAAAAAAAAGCATAATAATATCTAGTTAAAGGAGGCTGTGAGAATTAGAAAATATATGTAAAATGTTTAGCACAGTGCCTAGACAAATTTAAACACTAAATACATGGAAGTAGTAATTATTTTAAAAATAACCTTATCTAAATTAAGTTACAGAAGAGGCAATATAGTTGCCCAAGTTTGAGTAGTGTCAGAACTGGAACTTGAGTGTCTTGAATATCAGAAGCAGCACATCTCTCAAGGAAATTATAATTTTATGAATGGATTGTTCTATTTAAGGTGACTGCCACTCGCATTGGTAAGAGTGATGTTATTTACTTAGTTTATTGTTGCAAATGCTAATCTCTTCCAAAAACACTCTCACAGACATACCAGAAATATTGTTTTACCAGCTATCTGGGCATCCCTTAGCCCTGTCAAACTGACATATACCATTAACCATCATAATATCCAACATATGTGTTTGAATGTTTAACTACTTATTTGCTCTCTTCAAGCTCATATATTAAAATCCTGACCCCGAGTACTTCAGAATGTGACTGAATATGGAGACAGGGCTTTTAAAGAGGCAATTAAGGTAAAATGAGATAATACGGCAGACCCCACTCAATATGATTGATACTTATAAGAAGAAAGATTATGACACACACAGAGATTGAGAGGGGACACTGTGAAGATACAGGGAGATGGCAGCTGTCTGCAGGCCCAGGAGAAAGGCCTCAGAAGAAACCAAACCTGCTGACACCTTGATTTTGAACTCTAGTCTCCAGAACTGTAAAAAAATAAATTTCTGTCATCTAACCCACCCAGGCTGTGGTATTTTGTTGTGGCAACCTTAGCAAACTAATACAGGAGCTACTGTGTATTACTTTACTATATCTTCAGATAGTTCCAGAGAACCCAGAAAACTGGATTTTTAGGTAAAAACTTCTGATTTTTAAATCTCAGAAGCTAAATCAAATTTATTTAAAACAATTGCAAGATAAAACTCTCTATGTAAAATAGAACAGGGTTAATTTATGTTGTGCATATGGGGGTCCTAGCACATAATGATTATTTAACAAATGTTAGTATGTCTTGGCTTCTCAGGCAATAGTAAAATTTTGTAGCAGTTTTGAAAATACAGTCACTTATCTTGGAAAACTTCTCTGGAGTCTTAGGAATATAAACCATTTAGACTGACTTTGCTATCTTCCATTTCTGTCCTTTCAATTTAGAGCTGACATAAAAAACACTCAAGAGAACTGAGTCTGGAAAATGTGAGAAGAAAGTTAATTTTGGCAAATTTCTGAGAAATGAAAAGACGTATCAACAAGAAATTTCATTTCTAAGAGGTACAGCAATCTTGTTTCCTATTGATGAGCACTATCATGGAGACCATGGCAAGACTGGGTTGTTGTGTCTTTTATTGGAGATCTCAGTGAACATGTCAGAAAGACAGAAAGTTACAAAGGCAGACTCCCAGTTGTCAGTTTGCCAAAACTCAGACAAACTACGAGAAGAGTCACTGAGAGATTCTCATTTTCTTCTAAAAGTAAAGTATGGATTTAGAAGGTGATGTAGGAAAAGCACAAAAGACGACACAGGAATCTCAGGACAAGCTTAGTCGAAGGTCTTTTTGCCTTTGGAAAAAAACAAAATGAAACAAAAGAGGGTAGCAACTAAAAGAGTAATTCAACATCAGAATCTCTCTTTATTACCACCATGCTGTATTCATTAAGGCTGAGTTTCCCTCCTGGCTTGGGTTCACCATTGCCATGGACAAGGGAAAAAGTTATATTTCCTGTTGCAGTGGAATATTTTTATAGTGTGACCCTAAAAGTTTTTAACTGCAATTCCAAATTAAAAAATATATATTTATTTTTACTTTACTATTCAACACACACATATACATTGTCAATCAAAATAACAGACAAAGAGAGGCTGTCTAAAAATAAGATGCCTATTTGGGAATAGAGCACTGCAAAAGAAATATACATGCTGTAGTAAACTACATGCATATTCAGGGAAGTAAAGAAAGACAAAAGGTTTTACAGAAAAAAATGAGAAAAATTACCTAATCATTTTGAAAAACTTCTCCACTGCTCCAAAGATTAAAACAAAGGTGACACCAGTCCAAGTTTGGCCATGCAGCTGCTGAGTGGATGTCCTTGCAGAAATATTTTTTGTATAAGGTTGTGACAGACTTTGTGCAAGGTTGTGGTTTCATTATAAAGTACACAAGCATGAGAACCTTCTCTTTATAGCCTTCCCCAGCTCTATGTGTCAGACTTTTCTTAAAATTAGTGGCTCCATTTGGATTCTGATGACTTTCACATTTCCCCCTTTTGATCAAGATCTTTCTCTGAAAGTATCACTGATAAATTACACTATAGTTAAGACTTGTTGTCCCTTGACACCAGAATGTACCTGTCCCAGTTGCTGGTCTCATTCTACATTGGGGAGAATGATGAGCAAGTAGCAGTCAGTGTCAACATTCTTTTAGCCATATTTGAGCAACAACAGAGGTTTAAAAGGAGGGGCTCTCATGCTAAGTCCACTCAGAGTTCATTAGAAAGTTCAATTTTGTCTGTTCCATGGTCTTTTGGTACCAGCTTAAAGTGTAGGGTCAATATTATCTTGTTAGAAGTTGCACTTCTGCAAAAATTTAATTAGTAACAGATATAAAGTTTAAACAAGGAAAATACAAAGTAATATTAATAGTAATGTGACAATTCCAGTTTAGGTAATGGTTTTGAGCCATAAACCTTGACTTAAAGATCACCAATTGCATGAATCAAATAAGCATAGGGAATTAGATGAAGGATTTTGTAAGCATGTAGCTTGTTTGCTTATTTTGTATATATGAGGGTCAACTTTTCCCAGAGAAATTTATCTAGATGGGCATGTAGTACTAGCAATAGCACATATATATTTTTTTAATTCAACCAATGGGTACTGAAGGATTTATTAGGCTACCTTCTGTTAAGTTACCAGCAGAAGCTATTGATTATGAAATTTCAATTAATCATTATCTTGTCAAGTACAAAAGGTAGCAAGTGGGGTAAGATTCTTACTATGATCAGGAGTCCTGTTTCTGTGTCTTGAGAAAAGCTTTTTACACTATGAAAACATTAACTTCTCCTAGTTTGTAGTTTGAGTGTTTCTGGTCATGACCAGGCAGCTTAGTGAACATTTTATGTGGTCCATACATCAGATACAGGGTTTGTCTCTTGAAATTCATCTAGTTTCAACTTCTATATTGCTTTTTATAGGAACAGAGTAGCTTTTTTTTTGTTTGAGTTACAGAGTTGTAGCCAAATATTGGAGAAAATTAGGAAAATTCAGAAACTGATTCAGTCAGAGAGAATAAGAACATAAAAACAATACACAGGTGTATTGCAGTTTTTCTTTGGAAATATAACTTTTTCTTTCCACATTGATCTTATAGGAATCTCAGATTTAAAACTTCTTGAAGCCCGGCAAGGTGGCTTACGCCTGTAACCCCAGCACTTTGGGCGGCCAAGGTGGGCGGATCACGAGGTCAAGAGATTGAGGCCATCCTGGCCAACATGGTGCAAATCTGTCTCTACTAAAAATACAAAAATTAGCTGAGTGTGGTTGCATGCCTATAGTCCCAGCTACTCCGGAGGCTGAGGCAGGAGAATCCATTGAACCCAGGAGGCGGAGGTCACAGTAAGCTGAGATCGCGCCACTGAAATCCAGCCTGGTGAGAGAGCAAGACTCTGTCTCAAAATAAATAAATAAATAAATAAATAAATAAATAAATAAATAAACAAAAAAAAAAAACCTTTTAAGGCTAGGAACCCAAGAACCCAAACTAAGGCATACCTTAGATTTTTCTTAGCATCTAAAGGTTCTTGAGGCTGCCAGGAAGTGACACTTTTTACTTACTGTAAGGCTGCAAACTCCTAAAGCTGGACATTCTATGCACATTTTAAATGATGGCATTTTAGTCAAAGCCTTGGTAATATTTAATATAATCAATGTTTCTACTTGTATTCTGCATACAAAGACAGAGTAGATTTTTATTAAACTTATGTAAATAAAAAATAAGAATATGCACAAACAGCTTCCAAATTTTGGATAAATCAAGTAGGGAGGAAAAGCAAATTTCTCCACTATTGTTCACAAAAGTATACTTTACCAGATTGTTTAAAACTATAGATAGCTTATAAAGCAAAATTTTCTTCAATCGTGAAAAGGAAACATTTAAGTAAATAACTAGCAATGTTTTAATTAAAAGTCATAAGACATTATCTTTGTCAACTACTTCATTTCATGTAATTAATTCATTTTTGCTTTAACTTGGTTAGCAGTTATATGAATGTATCCGTTTTTTACAATGAGAGTTCTGAAAATTTTTATTTTGTCCATTTATTTTAAAGTTATCAGAAATCTGTGTTTAAGAGTACTAGTTAGAAAAAAGCAATTTTGGAATAGAGCTGATTGGAAATGCTTTTAGAGAACTCAAGACAATAACTGTGCATGGTGAAAGCTTGAAATAGCTTATGGTTAAAATCGGATGAAAGTTTTCAATTGACAAAGAAATTTACTAAATTTACTACATGTAGTATTTTAAGGTAACCAGATTCATGACTGACAGTGTCACATCAGGACCATCAGATTTAATAAATTCTATATAATCTTTAGAACATTAACATTAATGACTTACCCATACAAACAGAACTGTAGAAAAGATTTAGCATAATTAAAATTATGATTGATAATATAGTAGACTTATGAATTTGTATAATTTTTAAAACATATTTAACAGCTATATACCCATAAATGTAACTGAAAGAGTTTATAGTATCACTTGTCATTTGACAATATCTCCCGCATAATTTAGCAAATAAGTCGAATCATTTAGCATTACCACAAGAGAAGAGATACACTCTTTGACACATTAGAGGCACTTAACCAGAAAATTCCAAAGTTAATTTTAGCCCCAAAAGATTTAATTTAGGATTTTGATTCTAGAGAAACCTGCCAAAGATTTCAAAAGATTCAAAACACTTGATCAAAACAAAATCACCTTTTGATAGAGCTGGAGGTCATTATTCTAAGTGAAGTAACACTAGAGTGGAAAACCAAACATTGTGTGTTCACACTTATATGTAGGGGCTAAGCTATGAGTACGCAAAGGCATACAGAGTGATATAATGGACATCAGCCGCTCAGAAGAGGAAGGGCAGGAGGGTGGCTAGATATAGAAAACAAACCATTAAGTGCAATGTACACTAGTTTGGTGATGGGTACACTAGAATCTCAGAACTCACCACTATATTATTCATCCATGTAACAAAATACTACTCATACCCCCAAACTATTAAAACAAAATTAAAACAACAACAAAAAGGAAAAAAAAATGTAAAGAAACCCCAAAATTATAGGTTGTGTAAAATAATATTTATTTACCAGAGTTATAGTCAAAATACTTCAAAAAGCAAAACAAAAAGTTATATGGATATAAAAACATTAAACCTTTAAAAGCTCAGTTTTCCTAACTAATAAAAAACCTAATGAAGACAATATAGAAAATTATCTTGATAAAACACTAAATTTTTTTTTTAGGTCAGTTACCAAAAAGATAAAGAGGTGAAGAAAAACCTTCTGCAGCATGATTTCTTATTCTTATGAGATGCCTTCTTAAATTTCCTGGAAGTCAAACCTAATGAAAATGGTACTTGAATTTAATCAGATACAAGAAAAATGTGTACAGAATTGTGACTGTACACCATGTTATAGAGAAATACAGACAAGGAAAATATTACATTGAGCATGGAGTACATGACCTTTAGTAACAGCATGGGAAATTTCCTGGTTACATGAAACTATTCAGACATATCAAGAAAAGCCACGAATATAGAATCAAGTTATACTGGAGAAAAGCATTCCATTTCTAGGCCTTTAAGATAAACATTTCATTATCTGACCACAACAAAAGTTGGCACCAGAGAAAAATAGTTACAGGAGCTGATGAAAAGGTTGAAGAAGAGAGTTAGCACCCCAACCAAGCAAAAAGATACATGATTTCAAGAGAAGAAAAAGAAGACAATAATGTATAATTTGCAAATTACATGCAGTAAAGTAGAACAAAAGTTGAATTTCTGAGATACATGTGAGAAATTTCAAAAAGAAACATTTCCAAATTAAAAATTAATACCTCGTGCAATATAACTAAAAGTAAATCAATGCTTTAAGGAAACCTTGTTCTAACATTAGGTACCCATTTTTTTTTAGTTTGGTATGAATGTGTTTTTAATATAAAAAATCTATCATTAGAAAGACTACTATAAATAATCACCTTTTAATTCTAGCCAACTTGATCACACACATAACTCCTTTCATAAGTTTCTTTTTCATGAATCTTATTATGACTTACACAGACCATATATGGCATGCTTGGATTTCTCTTTTGTCCTATAGTTTCTCTTTCTTAAATAATCTGTTATTTTACTTTAGGAGAAACAGTTACCATACAGGATTCTTTTTTATACAAAATTTTTCTCTTCATTTTAGCCTTTCTTATCAAAAATACATTTTCATATCTGTAACTTTCCCCACATCTCTCTCTCCTACGTTTGGTTTCTTTCTCTGTTGCTTCTATTTCCTTCCTAAATTTATATTTTAAAGCAACCTTCAAATAACTTCTGAATAAGAACAAATTATACTTTTTTCAATAAATATCACATTTTTATACCTTAGTCATAATTTTTAAAAATTAAAAACATATCTTATCTTTTGGCACACTTTATACAATTATATATTTATATATAGTTATATAAAAATTATATATATAAATTAGAATTTTTAACTCTTATTAAGTTTAAAATTTAGTGAAGACCTAGGAGGCAAGAAATATTGAATTGTCTGTAACATGTCAATATTTTATAGACAAGAAGCATTTTATAATTTTAGAAACATACTTCCCTGTAACATAATTTGTTTTAATCTTATTTGGAAATAATCCAGCATTTAATGAATATCTATTATTTAATGTAACTTTAAGATTTCAAATTACATGAAACATTTATTTATAAATGTTTATCTCATTTACATTTACCTAACTTATTTACTTTTAACAGTATTAGACAAAGATGTTAATCATTTTACTTTCCTGGTTAACTATTTTTATAGCCTGTGAATATTAGCTGTTCACCTAAGTAAAAATTTTTACTTGATAACCCAGAAGATACAGCTATTTTCACTAAACTAATAATGTTAAATAGGTCTTACTTATCAAAAAATTACACAAAGATCATTCTATTTTAGGCTAGATGTATAGTTTTATAATCTTTGTCTCAAACCCTGACACCTTAAATATATAGCAGAGACACATATAAAGCTGTCTGAACAGTAAATCCAGGTAAAAATACATGCTGAGAATTCTGAAGACCTTTTTTAAAATTTTACCAATAATTTTAAAACCAGCTTATTTATTAACAATTTACTGGAGTCATGCAAACTAAAGGCATTTAGGTTAATTACTATATATTTTATCTTGTATATGAACATTCTTTTATCCTTACAATATTTTTGAACAACTATACCAGCTTTGACCATGTGGACATACCATATAACATAATACATGAACATATACATATGTAAACCCATCTAAACATACATACACACACAAATAAAGACCTTATAGCTTTCACTTTTGAATTTTAGTCATAAGACAGTAAAACAAAACAAAACAAACAAAAACTCACTAGTTTATAACAGACACTTAGATCCAAATTATATTTCTGACAAAATTGAGACCTGTTTACATAGCTAAACTTTATTTGTCTTTACAGGTAATCTAATAAAGCCTGTAGATTAAAATTTTGGGTAAAGGTATTTCCATGGTAGTTTCATTTATTTAAGTAAAAAAAAAATTCTTTTACCCTTTTTTGTAAATCAATTTAAAATAAGTTTAGGGTTAAATTTTTAAAATTTATGTTTAGCTAGGACTGGCTGAATTGTATAAGAAAAACAAAACCTCTAAGAAGACTTACATTTATAACAAATCTGTCTTTTGTTGGCTGGTCTAGTTTGCTTGATTACCAAATGCACCTAGGTGAGAATTTTAGCAGTTTTTTTTTTTTTTTCGCCTTTTCCTTTTAGCTTTTTATGGCAGAAAAAGTTAAAGTTTTTTGCTAGACAGAGATGTATTATTGTGCTAAGCTCAAGATTTTGACCAGAGAGCCTAACATTTATAAACAATTATCTAGTATTTTTTAGATTATTAATTTTTAAATTAAGCATTCCATCATTGTATACAATTGTTAGACAAATATGAATTTATATTTCTAAAAGGTGTCTAGGCTGTTGGTTACCACAGAGAGGTTGTGATTTCTAAGGCCATTAATTTGAAGGACTTTTAAGATTTTTTTCCTTTTTAATCTTGGCTGGAATTCCATAAACAGTGAGTTTTTTTCTCAACACTAGTAGAAAAGTCAGCAGATTCAAAGTAGACAGAAAAAGAGAGAGAGAGACAGAGAGAGAGAAACAGAAAAATTAGAAGACACCATATGTTTCCCCTACAGCTGCAGGTTTTTTAAATAATGACCATCTCCGAATGGTCATTGATAATATGAACAGTTCTGAATTATCCTTGATGTAGTTTGTCTATCAGTTTAAAAATACGCACAAGTATAGGCCATAATATGTAGCTGACTGGAGTTCAAGAAAATTTGGCATGCCTTAAGTTTAAGAATTTCATTTCATTTCTTATTAATCCCTTGGGAACAAAGAAAATCCTATAAATCCTGTCAGAAAATGTCAGAATTTAAGACCAGTGTTTTAGATGATAGCAACTACCCTAGTGGCTTTTATTTCAGCCATTCTGAATTCCCTTCCAGAATGTTTATTTTTGCTCTTAAAATATTTGTAGATAAAAGCAAGGGAATGCAGTCAACCCAAATAAAAATAAACTAAGATGAATGTGTTCAAAACAGTTTAACCCAGGCATGCAAATGAAACAAAATATTGAACTAGGCATGCAAAGCAGAGAAGACATATCTCACAGATAGAATGTAAATTCTGTATTAAAAAAGAATATTTAATCTAGAAAGACACTTCTTATCTTTATACTAAAAAGGACTTACTACCAGAAAAGATGAAAAGACTTTTATCATCCCAGGAGGTATATATAGTCCTTTATTAAGATGGCCTTTTCCAAACCAGAAACCAAGTAAAGTCAAAAAATCTCTACCAATAGGAGGGAGAATTGATCTGAGTTAAGACTCACCAGGGCAAAAAAAAGCACGCTGTGAAAGTGGAGGGCTCAAGTGTGTACTACACACCAGTTCTGAGAATTGCTAATTCCTTCAGATAGTGAACTGAAGATCCTATTTCTGACATCATATATATCAACCTGAATAACAAACAGAAACACTCTCTAATAGAAAACAATGTCTATTTGGAAATACGGCATTGCAAAGGGACTACACATGCCATGGTAAACTATGTATATTCGGGGAGGCAGAAAAGGCAAAGGTTTTTAAAGGAAAAACATAAGGAGAATAATGTAGTTGTTTTAAAATAATTATTCTTGGCTACAGGGATAATTAATAACAAGGATGGTGCTAGTCTGAAATTGGACAGGCCATTTCTAGGCAGATGTTCTTATAGAAGTATTTTTGTGTAAGGTTGTGATGGCCTTTATGAAAGGTTATGGTCTTTGTAGTGTTTTTTGTTATCAGACATTCAAGGATGTAAACTCTCTCCTCATGGCCTTTCCTGATTCTAGTTTTTAGGACTTTGTTAAGATTAGTGACTCTTTTTGACTCTGATCATTTTTCACAACTTGTATACTACTAAAACCAATGTTTTATGAAACATTTCATGAAACGTTACAATATATGTAATATCCCATAGTATTTTCTATTCTTTTTCATTTTTCAAAAATACTGGTCATAGTCACCAAATTGATTTTAGGGCACTTTGAATGGGTTGTAACCCACAATTTAAAAATGTAAGACATTGAAAAACTGCTTTTAAAATTTTGGGTATTGAAAGGACCTAAGAACAGTAAATAGTCTGATAATTCAGTTTCAGACTGAGTTAGTTGGAATTTTTATCGTACATTTTGATGTTTGAAATGAAGATTTTAAAGGTGGAACAGCTTTGGATCATAAGGCCTAGTGTACATTTATTGAAATAGTAGCTAAACAGTCTGATAACTCAGTTTACTCTGTGCATACCCATAGAAGATACTCTCATATCAGTATAATAGATGAACTAAATGTTAAGATTCATTGATTAATTATATGTTGAACTAATGTTAATAGTTAATAGTTAACGTAATAGATGAACTAAATGTTAAGATTCATTGATTAATTTATTCAATGAACATTTGTTGAGAGCATACCACATTCCTGACACTGTTCTAGATTGTTGTTCATTATGTATGTAGAAGTCATGTACAAAGATGTAATGTACATTATGTACATTAATGTACAACAGCCTAGAACAGTGTCAGAAATGCACATTAAATTACATATGAATAAATCTTTATGTTATGGAACTTATTTGTTGTAAAGAAATGAATAATAATAAATAAGCCTATAATATAATGAAAAGTCATGTAAGTAATATGAATAAAAATCCAGCCACATGAGACAATGGAAAATGACTGATATGGTTTGTCTGTGTCCCCAACCAAATCTCATCTTGAATTGTAGCTCCCATAATTCCCATGTGTCATGTGAGGGACTCAGTGGGAGGTAATTGAATCATGGAGGTGGGTCTTTCCTATGCTGTTCTTGTGATCGTGAATAAGTCTCATGAGATCTGATGGTTTCATAAAGGGGAGCTCCCCTGGACATACCCTCTTGCCTGCCATCATGTAAGACATGACTTTGCTTCTCATTCGCTTTCCACCATGATTGTGAGGCCTCCCCAGCCATGTGGAACTGTGAGTCAATTAAACCCCTTTCCTTTATAAATTACCCAGTCTCAGCTATGTCTTTATTAGCAGTGTGAGAACAGGCTAATACGATGACTAATAGAGACATTTGATTTTAGATAGGGTTGTCACAGAAGAGTCAGGGATAAGGAAAAGGGATATATGAAGATCAGTCTAGTAAAGAATGTTGAGGCAAGAGGAACAACAATGAAAAACTTTGATGCAATAATAAGTGTGGTGTATTTTAATACCAAGAAGAAGGCCAAATGTCTAAATGGGTAAGAGAAGATATTGGAGACATACATAGGAGCCAGACGATATAGCACCTTTTAAACAGTATGAATGGTTATTGCAGGATTTTGAGGAGAAGTGTGGCATAAACTATTATAAATTTTACAAAATTCATGCTGGCTGCTTTGAGGATGATTGAGTGAAGTGGGCAAACATGAAGGCCAGTGAGGCCACTTCAGAAGACTTCACACGGGTATTAGTGATAGATACAAGTGGCTTTTATTATGGTGGAAAATGCTTCAGGATATATTTTGAAGATAAATCTGGCAGGTGTTTCAGATTGTCTGGAATAGGGGTATAATAAGAAAATGAGAAAAGTTAAAAATGGCAGTAAGTTTCTTGGGTCAAGTAGTTGAGTACACAGTGATGCCTATCACTAAAATAAGGAAGACAGGGAGTGAGAAAAAGTTGTAGTGAACAATGAAGAGCTCTGCCTTGGAAATGATATAGTTGAGAGGCAGATTACAATTGCAAGGGGCTGGTGAGTGGGAAGGCGTATATATAAGCTTGAAACATGGGAGATGTATACAGCTAGAACTATATGTTCAGCAGGTAGATGATATTTAAAAGCATACAATTAGATAAGTTCATCTCAGGGACTAGTGAAGATAAAGGAGAGATGAGTTCCAAGACTGGATCCTGGAACTGCTCCAGCATTTATTAATAAGGAAAATGAAGTGAGGCTAGCTAAAAATACTGAGAAGGAGGTGTGCATGATGCAGAAAAAAAGCCAGAATTCTGCGTTCCAGAAGTCAAGTGAAGGAAATGTTTCAAGAAGGACATTTATTTTGTAAAATGCTGTTGAGAAGTCAACAAGGACTAAGATTTGGCATTTGAGTTTGGCAAGATGGTGGTCGCTTGTAACAAGGGTAATTTCAGTGAAGTTGTGTGGAGTAAAGCCTGAAGAGAGTGGATTCAAGAGAAAAGGTGAGATGAAAAGAAGAAAATCAGTGCAGTCTATACTTTTGAGAAGTTTTGCTATAACATGGAGCAGAGAAATCATCAGATATTTGCGATGCTTCATGAAACAATGGGTGTAGGCATTTTGTTTTGTTTTATTTTTTGATGGAACATATTACAGTAGATTTTCATTCTGATGGACATAATTCAGTAGAATAAGATAAACTGATGACAAACAAAGATATTAAATTTCAGAACCATGTTGTTACATTGATGACAATGTAAGAATCAGTGTGCAAATGTAAGACTTATTCTTAGGAATGTAGGGTTCATTGATTGTAACAGGAAGGAAGATAAATGCTTTGGTACAGATGAAGGATTATTGATAGATTTGGTGGTGGGCAAATTAGATAAGTTCACTTATAATTGCTTCTATTTTCTCAGCAAAATAAGACATAAGACTATCAGTCAACAGTCAGTAGAAAGTGAGAGGGTGAATTGGCTAGTAGATGAGTTCTCATCTGTAGCTTGTGGTAAAAAATTCAAAAACTAAAGAGCATGGCTATCAGTTTCCTCCAATTATGTTTAGTAATAGGAAAAGCATAGGTGAAGAGTTAGATTTTGACAGAGAAATACAATCAAAGTGGGGAAGGAGAAGGCAGATGAAAGAGGTAAAGTATGGGAGTTAAAACTGTGCATAAGGGAGTGGTTTTCATTATTAAGGTAAACTGGGGAATGAGAGAGTGGAAGACCTGATGGAGTTTATGGCAAATAAAATAAATAGTAAGATCAATTAATTGGACTAAAGATGAGAGTGATTAATTGCCAGAGTGTGGGGGGCATAATAAATTAGTTGGAATCTTTATCATACATTTTGATATTTAAAACTAAGATTTTAAAGGTGGTACAGCTACAGATCATAATAAAGTCTAGTGTACATTTATTGAAACAATAGCTAAAGAAGTGTAAGGAAAAATAGAGTTTGAGTTGAGACAATCAAGAACTGAGATACTAAACTGCTGAGTAAATCATATCTGTAAATGTTCAAATCATCAAGGACACAGTGACTCAGTACTAAAACCTCGAATAGTTAAAGAACATTTGAGAGGTCTGTATGTGACTCCATATAAAAGGATGGCTAGATGGTATAATCTGAGGGAATGTACTTCAGAAGAGCTGTATTTCTCTCTAGAAGGAGAAGGAGAAGCTTTCTCAATATAGAAATATGATTTAAGGATACCTACCCCAAACCTAGGCCCCATGGTAAATAGGGTTTGGTAACATTATCTTCATCATCCTCATCATCCTCCTTATCATCATCATTATCATAATCATCTTCAATACTATTACCATTAGTGTTAGTAGTAGTATTGGTACTGGTGATAATACACACACACATACACATCTCAGATTTATCATATGTTGAATAAGGGTCTTCAAAATCTCTTTTAGGACAAAATATGCTATGTTTTCGTGAATCCATGATTCGACCTGAAGAAGAAGGAAAGAACTGGACATCCAGATGAGTACATTGATATCGAAGAAAAAAAGAGGTCCTTTCTTTATTCCATTCCCCTTCATGTCTCTACCTAGGACAGTATCTGAAAGTAGTAGACAATCAGTAGTACTTTTGGAAGAAAGGACAAAATACAGAAAGTCAGGACCGAAAGAGGAAAGGTTGCAGGTTAGGGGCTCAAGCCTGCTGTCATGTTTTTTTGCCACAGCTCTAGTACACATATCCTGATTACACTGAAGAAGGATTAGGCTCAGATCAGAGTGGGACACTTCCATATCAGGCAGTCTTCATATAGAGAAGGAAATTAAATTCTCTTGTCCTTAGAAAGCCCAAAGTTCCATAGCAGCTGTGTTTATATTTTTCTAGTTCCCTAAGGAAGCAGGCAGTAGAAGGGAAATGTGCTTCTGACTTAGAGTGGTATGCAACTTTTTAATTTAGCCAGCACCACTCTCAAAGTTTCACCTGCTTCTGAGAAAGTTATCTCAGGCATATATTTTCAGAAAGCTTTTTCTTTTTGGTGCAAGCTTTTGCATTCTAGGGGGAACTGCTACTCCATTCCACTCAGCTTTGCACTGCAACACATTCTCAAGCAGTTTCTGTCTCAGAGTATCCCACAGGCACAGCTTCATCATAATGGCACTTAGCATCTCCATAGTACTTATTATCTTGGAGGCACTCTACAAACATTAGCTAATTAGTCCTTGTGGAAAAAAAGGTCTTGTGGAAAAAAACATGCCTATTCATATTCTAGGAGTGGCCAACTGAAATGAAGAGGTAATATCAATAGATCTGTTTACAAGGCCACAGAGAGAAAAGAGTGGCATTTAGGACTTGTCAAAATATGGTCCCCAAGGTAATGCTAAATATAACTACAAATCTTGTCACCATTTGAAGATTATTACTAATCTTATTCCTTTAATTTTTTGGTGAAAATGATTGCATTTAAAGAAACAGCATATGAGTTAATATTAATAAGGAAAAATAACTGATTTGATAGCAATAGGTGAATAACTCTACAGGCATAGATATTTAGGGGTGAGACTTATTAATCTGTGCTAATAATTTGTCAAATTTAAATTATCTCTTTCACTGAACACCAAAAATAAAATAACTCCTGGCCGTGCCATTTTATGATATTCTATTTAGACAACATCTTTTATAGACTTATGTTTTCCATTGTTCTCACCATGCCTACATCTAAAACTGTCTATTGAGTACTCAATATATACTAGGTGTTCTGTAAGACACTGATTGTAGAGTGGTTTGTAAGATAAGAAAGGTCCTTGTATTTAATATGTTTTCTGTCTAATGAAGAAGACAGGGAGCTAAATGCACAATTACCATGAGACTTATGATTCTCTCAGAATAGTAGGACACCATGGACATGATTAAGGGTGGGTCAAAGGCAAGGAAAAAATCCTAGATGAAGGAATATTTAAGGGCGATCTAATGTATGCATAGAAATTAGGCAGATAAAGAGGTGAAAGGGTGAGTTTGGTCTATATTTCATTATAGTAATAAAATCTAACTACTGACATGTATATTGTTTAATAATGTATACTATGTTTTCAAATTTATTATTGAATAGGAGATGCCTAACCCTCCTCAGAGAAAGCCAGGCATGGAATTACTGTCACCATGTAAGACCTGAGGAAGAAGAAACCCCAAAAGTTAAAGTAGGCAAGACTTGATAGCTGAAAAGTATCATAGCTGGAGCTCCAGCTCAGGAATTAAATCCTATTCACCATGATAATTAGAAAAAAAATCAGATGGAGAAATTAGCTTTCTCATTTTTAGCCCTGATTTAATCATAAAGTTCTTTCTCTAGATTTGTCTAGAGGTACATTTCATGGCCTGTTCCTCCCAAATGTCCAACTTCATTTGCTACCTAAAATTAAAGTAGGCCCTCTTTTTTCTTCTGAAAGACATTGTACTCCCAACAAAAATGGGAAATTTTCTTCATAAACAAGTAACACTCTAACACACTGGAAATAAAATCCCCTAAGAAGATATATTAGACCTCTTCATCAATACAGCCAGGTAACCTGTTTTCTTAGCTTTGAAATCACATAGTAGCAGCAGAAGGTGTTAAGAATGAAAAAGCACTTATTTAAAACACAAATATTCATGATAGTAGCAGCAGTGTATAACGGAACTGACCAGGGAAATTGGTTTTTGAATAATTGTATTTATTGTATTTTCCTTCACTGGTAGTAATAAATATCTCTCTGGAAGAAACATACAAGCAGTCCTGGATGTTGAACATTTCCATAAATTAGCAGTGTCCCCATGGAGGGGCTCAGTTTTTCTGCACCCCTCCATTGCAGTGACATAGTTTGGGGCTAGATAATAGAGAGTTAACTGGAGCTCCAGTTTGTGCCTCATTCAGCTACCTTGTACTATGCTGCCATATTTTGAATCAAAGTCCCAACTTCCAGCTCTGATACGGAAATTGGTATTTCCAATAATCTCTATAGATCACAGCTCTATAATTTCAGACATGGTGATTGATGTGTTCATGGTTTCATACCCACACCAAGCGTGTTTTGCACATTATTCAATAGCATTTGTTCAGCAATTATTTTAGCTTCTCCTCTTGCCAGCTTTATGCTTAACAAAGACAATAGAAATACAATAAAGAAGACAGGCATATTCTCATATCCTGAATATGAGATCAGACCAATATTAATCCAACAATCATTCATATAAATGTGGAATTCTATGAAGACTTCCATAGAATAAAGAAAAATAATGCTAGAAGAACATAGAATAGGTGAGCCTCGCCTAGTCTAGGGGAATAAGAAAGTCTCTTCTAAGTGGCTGGGTGTGGTGGCTCATGCCTGTAATCCCAGTACTTTGGGAGGCCTAGGTGGGTGTATCACAAGGTCAGGAGATCGAGACCATCCTGGCTAACACGGTGAAACCCCATCTCCACTAAAAATACAAAAAATTAGCCAGGCATGGTGACAGGTGCCTGTAGTCCCAGCTACTTGAGAGGCTGAGGCAGGAGAATGGCTTGAACCTGGGAGGTGGAGCTTGCAGTGAGTGGAGATCACGCCACTGAACTCCAGCCTGGGCAACAGAGCGAGAATCTGTCTCAAAAAATAAATAAATAAATAAATAAATAAATAAATAAATAAATAAATAATAAAAAAGGAACTCTCTTCTAAGAAAGTAACTTTTAGGCTAAGATGTAAAAGATAGTAGACATTATCAATCAAGAAGCAAGAGAAAGAGCATCCCAGGCAGATAAGATTCAGAATTCAGCATGATGCATTTTTAAAGCTAGTGGTATCTCATTGTGGGTGGAAAACAGGAAAGTGCTTTTTGACTAGAGGTTGAGGAATTGGGCCAGACTCAACAGAGTCTTGAGGACTTTTTCAGGCTTTGGATAAAAAAAGTGACAGGAATCCATTCAGGTATTTCAAAGAGTAGAAGTAGATGTGTTGAGGTAAAATGTGATCACTATTGTAATCAAAAGGACCAATCTAGTTTTTCTTTGGATTCGCCATTGGAAAAAGCAAAAATATTTGTAGTTCACTGGGCCAGAGGCTATTGCAAGAATCTGTGGAAGATATGACAGAAGTGGGTCACAAAGAGATGGTAGCAGAGATAGAAGTTAACACATTAAAGAGTTATTGAATATAAGAGGGACTGGAGATGTACATTAAAGAGTTACTGAACATAAGTGGGCTATATTTTGGGAATGACTTAGGGAGAATTAAGTGTAAAGGATGGCTCTTAGGTTTCTGTTTTTTTCAAGCTTATATAAGGTGGAAACACTGAGGAAGCTGATTTAGAGAACCAAGAGGATTATGCTTGGAGTGGAGGAACCATCACAATTTGTTCTTTTGTTATATTAGGTACAAGTAGTTTTTCAAATACCAAGGAGAAAGAACTGTTGAGTAGGTAGCAGAGTTTACTGATTCAGAGCTAGAAATACAGATCAGGATTATAGACATATATTTGATAGTTATTTGCATAGACTTCTCATTGGACTGAAGCCCTAGGAACAGAAGACATTACTTAAGTGATGATATTGCTATGACTACACATGGTCTTGCCCTTGTGTAGTGAACAGAGCAAGTTTGGGGATAGCATGTGAAAATCTCAGCTTTGGACAAAAGGTTTATCTGTCTGGGGACACAACATTGATATAGCCGATAAATTGGGCTAAAAAGGTAGGTTAGGGAATGTATTAGTTTCTAGGGCTGCTGTAACAAATTAGCATATATTAAGTGGCTTAACAGAACAGAAACGTATTCTTTCACAGTTTTGGAAGCTAGGAGTCTGAAATCAAGGTGTCATTGGGTTGGCTCTTTCTGGAGGTTCTTGAGGAGAGGCTGTTTTACATCATTCTTCTAGCTTCTAGTCTCTACTGCCAATCGTTGACATCCCTTGTTTTGTAGACACATCACTCCAGTCTTTACCTCCATCTTCACATTGCCCCATTGACTTCTTCTCTACATCTGTGTGTCTTCTTCTTTTTAAAGACACAAGTCACTAGATTTAGAGGCCACCCTAAGTCCAGGATGATTTTTTTTTGAGGTTCTTAATTACATCTGCAAATACTTTATTTCCAGATGAAGTGGGATTTCCCTGACCCCTTTGCAGGACTTACAACAGGGGTGCTTCATTTACTCAGCCCCCTGCTCTCAACTCCTCACAGAAAGGAGTGCACAAGCGAACAAGTGTGGGAACTGGAGTGAATGAACACTGGAACCGGCCAGCCCCTTCGGTGCTGGCAGGACCAAACTCCACTCACTTGGACCCATTGTGTTCTACCCCTTACAGGAGGGAGCACACAGGTGAGCAGGTGCAGGAACCAGCCGGACAATTTGCCGCCAGCAGGAATGAACTCCAAGCAGGCCCCACTGCAGTATCCAGGTCGGGGTGCCTGTGACTTCTGAAGCCACAGAGGGTGTGTTACAGTGCTTTTTAGCTTAAGTATTAACAGCTCAGTGAGCCCTTTGCCTTTCTGCATGAGGTGGTTGCCCTGAGTCAGCAAGAGCAGAGAGTCAGTGCGACAGCCTTTCATATCCACATTTGTGGCTCCCAAGCTCTTGTCTGGCATCTGGGAAAAAAAGGCTGCAAGAATAAATTGAAGGACGGTAAATGTGGGGGATTTTATTGCTGGTGAAAGTGGCTGTCAGTGGGAAGGGAAACTGGAAAGGGGACTGGGTGGGTAGACGATCTTTCCCCGAAGTCTGGCCATCTCCAGCTGGATTCTTCTCCAAAGTTACGCTGTCAAGCTGTCCTTCTGATGTCAAGCTACTTCTCTCTGATGTCCAGCTGTAGTCCCAATTAGCAGCTGAGTTGGGTTTTTATAGGCACAGGATGGGGCAGGGTGGGGCCATGGGTGGTTTAGGAAAAGGCAACATTCGAGCCAGAAAACAGGGATAGAAGTTCTCACTTTGAGCCACAGTTTCAGGCTTTTTGGCTTGAGGGTGGGGTTTTGCCAGGCACCTGCCCTTTTCTGCCTTGAATTTCTCTGCCCCCTGTCCCTATTACAAATAAAGTCATATTCTCAGGTGCTCAGGTACTTAGACATATCTTTTTGGGAGAAACAATTTAGCCAAATACAGTGAAATAGCAACACATGGATGACAAGGCATGCAGAAGGTGAGATTACATAGGGAGAAGGTGTAGATTTCTCAGGGACAGAGTGAAGAATGGAACTTTGAGGGGAAACAAAATATTTAAGAAGACTGAGGAAAAGTGATTATGATACTATGATGTCTCAAAAATCAAAAGAATGGAGTACTTCAGTAAGAAAAAGACAGTAATGACAAATACAGCAGAAGGTTAAAAAGCATCTACTGAAATTGTCAATAAAATGGTAGTTGATGACTTTACATTAAAAAATTTCAGTGGAGTGATATAAAATCTTTACCAGATCCACAATGTAGACAATGTTCTCTAAAATTTCAGAGACCAGCATAAATATGTGAATTTGGTTAGAATTACAAGCAATAAATGTTGAAGCAAACATTTGAATTCACATCTGTCTCCCTAACTCGTAGCGGTGTTATATAACAGAAAATGCAGCTGTTGAGTCAGCTACTTCTAGCTGTGTGATATTGGATATATCAACGAATTTCCTTGAACCTCAGGTTTTACATCTGAAGAAGCAGATTAATGGTCATATCTGCTCCCCAGGATGATTGTAAGGAAGAACACAGAAAATTGAAGTTAAAAGTGCATTGGAGTCAGGCACAGTGGTACATGTCTGTAGACCCAGCTACTCAGGAGGCTGAGGTGGTGGGATCCCTTGAGCCAAGGAATTCAAGTTCAGGCTAGGCAACATAGCAAGACTTCCTCTTTAAAACAAAAGTGCATTAGAAATTTCAGTTGGCTGTAAAAATGCATATTATCATTCTTCCCATAAAAGTTGATATCAATAAGGAGATTATATTTAGAGATAAAATGTTTTAGCATGTAGTAGTATTGGCAGCAGTATTTATAAGTGGGCCCACATGTAACATGGAATTGCTTCCCTGTTTGTATTGTATTGGTTACCGGTAGCCCTTCTTTTTACACAATTTTAGAAAGACAAATCTATGTAAATTTGATAAGAATATATCAAATTTCTTAACATATAAATAACATATAAATTTCTTAACATATAAATATATGTTAAGGTTACGTAGTTTTGTAAGTACAGTTGTTGGAACCTGGCTGAAAAATGTACTTGATGTTTTTCTTGTCAAATGTCTTTTTGTCATTACAGTACAGTGACACAAATGAGAATGATTCATACAGGAAATAAGAACTAGGAAACAGAATTGAAGTTGTTGGTGGCATCTTTTAAAGAAGTGGCCCAGGAGGAAAGGGACTAAATATATGCTATGACTAAATAGAATCCACAGGAACTAGGAAATAGAATTCAAGTTGTTAGTGACATCTTTTGAAGAAGTAGCCTAGGGAAAAAAGTGATTAAATATATTGGATATATTTTCAGAGTAACTATAAGGGAAAGAAAGGAAAACAGTGAAATTCCATATTTACCACTGTATATGAAGATGTTCATGATTATATAGATTAAAAAATAAAATACATGAGTACTTAAAATTATAATAATATACCAAGGAAATACTATTTGTATTTTTGTAGTAATTAAAACCAGGAAGTAATGGATTTTCATTTTATATTTTAATCAATCTACTTATTAAGACAATAATTACATGTACAATATGAGTTCTGGTTAACTGAGAAAGGGAAGATCACAAAATGGCAAAATCTTTGCCACACAGAATAATATTGCTCATGAGAAGAGATTTAGATAGTAAAAAATAGTGTCCTAAGGTAGTAGGATTTTGGGTATTTTCTAATTTTCTTTTAAATAGTTGCTAGGTTGCTAGGCTTTTATATGTTTTTGAATAAAATAAGAAATGTATGTTTGAAATTAGATCTTAAGAAATTAATTTAACCAGCACATTACATTGTGTTTCTTTCTTCAGCACTCTCCCACTCCCTTTCAAATTTTCCTTGTTTGTTACAACCAACTCCATAATCTTTTTATTCTCTCAGGAATAACCTTAACTTCTTTTAATATAGAAAACTGATGCCAACAGATTGGTATTATCCCAACTTTCTGCCACCAAATCAACACCTAATCATACCTTTACCAATCTCTTCTTCCTACTAGATAAAGAAGGAATTTACCTGCAGTCTCAGAAACCCAACCTAAGCATGCTCAAAGTAGAATGTATTGGCTTATTTTATCTGAATATCTGAAAATTGAGCTGAATTTCAGCACAGGCCTATCCAACAATATCATCGGAGCTCTGTCTCCTATCTTGGTTCTACTTTATTGGCCTCATTCTCACACAGATTCCCTCAGTTATATTTGTGTATATGTGCTACGTTCTTTTTTTTTTTAATCATATTCTCAAATGAGAACTTAATTCTGTGAGAGTACAAGGACTACAGATTCACAGCTGGGAACTATGCACAAATGTAAATAGGCTGATATTGAAAAAATTAAGAAGTTTCACAGATATCTAGGTGAGTATACTGCTTCTCATTCAACAGTCAGTGTGAGTGCTGCAGCTTTAAATCATGTTATAAACTCTAGAAAACCAACAACCTGGAACATTTTTTATAAACTCTGGGGAAAACTATCATGGTTTTCCCGATTTGTTGAAATGGGCTTCTTGATTTGTCAAGTTTAGAAATTCAGGGATATCACTTCTTTTCTTTTTCCCACTCTTCCTTCTTTCTTTCTACTTCCTTCCCTTATTAATGCATATTTATCTAATGTATTCCTTTTAATAGTTGCATATTTTATATAATAAATTATTATATATACTTTTGCCACTCTTTCTGCATAATCTCAATTTATTTTTGTTGCCATAAAAATACTGAAATGAATTTCTTTATATATAAAACCTGATGTACTTATTTCTGTGGATTAAATTTCCCAAATGAAGTCTGCTGGAAATATTGTTTGAGCAAGGCAACATTCTCTCACAAAGACCTTTTATAGCTTCAGTACCCAGTCTTACTAAAGTTGTGAAGCTTCTTCTCACCAAAACACTATTTCTTAAACTCCAAATAATTTTATTTCCATGATGATTCAGAAAATTGATTTTTCAGAGATGATGGGATGGATTCATTACAATGGTTTAGCAAAAGTTTTAAACTGGTTCTTTGCTCATTGTTGGGCAACAGACAGTAGCTCCCTTTCTTTTGACATTCTGCTTCTGATTCTTGTCAATTTCTCACTTTGGATACATTTTTTAAAGGAATACCTTTTTATAATTTAATGTCTTTCTCAGGATAAATTGTTTAAAGAAATTATCATTGCATTATTTACCCATTTCACGTGAGAATGCCTCGTACTCTTACATCAGAAAATTTTGCTCTCATATAATTTTCAGAGGTCTGCCTGGCCTCTTAGTTTCATGCCTGTTCCTGATGCATCCATCGGTTTTGAATACTTTATTTTTCTCTCACACTATTAATGATGACAATCATCATTTGGAACATTTAATGTGCTTTATCTCATTTTATCTTCTGACAACAGTCATCTGAGGCTTGTAGTCTTACAATTCCTATTTTAAATATATAGAGATTAACATAATTGAATAATTTGCTGATGGCCAGAGTTAGTAAATTGCAGAGCCTGGAGTGAACTCAGAAAATATAGACTAGAGTCTGTACAGTTGATTTTTAAGATTTACTGCTTGAAACAATGTTGACTTCCAGTAGTTACCTGAAATTGGTATCGTTAAGTCAGGTTTGAGAAAGTCATATACTCTTGCTATGGAGAAGAGCAACAGGGGCCTCTGAACTCATAACAGCAATCCAAGTTCTCTTGATGAATTGGTGTTGAGATAGATTTGGGGGGAGATAATTTATTAGGTTCCAACATCTAACAGTTTGTTAAATATATAGTCACTGGCTCCTCTTTTAGTGCTACCATAAATAGAACTTTATATTACTCTGGATTGACAGCTACCAAAAGACCTCATTTATACTTTTAAGAGGCAACCCACAGCTATATAAACCCAAGAGGAATCATAGAAGGGTGAGCAGCTGCCAAACAAACCCTCCCCAGAAGGAAGTCGACATTATTTGTTTTCCAGTGTTTTGGTCTTGAACTATCTGGATTGCCTTACCGTGGTCCTGATAGAACAAATGCCCTTGCATGTAGATTAAGGACTTATTTCTGTTTATTGAAAATTCCAACCCCTTTGGGCTTTGTTCTAATCCTTGATTTCCAAACTGGAAGCTTCTCTTGACATTTTAGCTTTAGTCAGTTTGTCCTATTTGGCTTTACAGATGCTATATGGTCAATCATTTCTATCTACTACAACAACAACCTAATTCTAGGAGATCATTATGGGAAGACTGTGGATCTGAACTATTGGGTCCCCTTAGTCTCTTATTCGATCCGGATTTAGGGATATAATTACTCCAAGAAAGTCACATTGTACCACTATCTGGCCACCATTTGGGGATCATGGCAATCCCCAACTGTGGTGGAAGCCGTGGAGGGCAAAAGAAAAACATGTATATTTATTTTCAGAGTTCCATCATGTCAGATATCCCTATGGTTCACAGGCTTCAAAATTTGCTGAAAATTTAAAAGATAATATTATTGCATACACTCGGTAGAAGTGAAATTCACATTTTTATTCAATACACTTTAGATATGAAATAGCTAAAATCAGAATTATGTATATAAATCCACAGGTCTGTAACTAGTGGATTAATAAACATTAGCTCTTACATCCAGGAAATAAACAATAGAATAGGTATGAGAGGAATAGGTGGCATTCAGGCCCAAAGATACTGCTGGACGCTAGAGGTACCCAACTACAGTATTGCATAGGAAAGGGTATTTTCTGAATAATGTAGAGGAAAGACAATACCTCTGATTGGTTTAATAGTTTGGATTAACATGCTGTGTGATGTCAAAATTATTTAACATTTCTTAGCCTATTTCCTTATAGATAAAAGAGAGTTAATGTCATCTACCTCATATAAATTTTGTAAATATGTAAATAAAGGCTCACAAATAGTTGCTACTATTTGTCGTTTATATATTCCAGATTCTGTGGTAAGGATTTAAAAGGTTATATTTCATTTAACACTCAGGAAAACTCTGTGATGTAAATTTGGTCATTACAATCATCTTGAAGATGAGAAAACTGAAGTTCAGAAAAGCTAAAAAGGCATTCCTAAGTTCTCATGGCTGGTAAAGGGTAGAACCAGAATTTGATTAGCTTCAATACTTTTAACCATGAAACTTATTCAGCATAAAGACGCACCAGGATAAAGTAATTGCGATTTTTGCTATTACTTTCAATGGCAAAAGTAATATGCCATTACTTTCAATGGCAAAAACTGCTCTTTTGTACAAACCTATAAATGGTATATAGGTCATGCCAAAAAGTATATTCCGTTATCAGATTCTATGAAATAAATAGTATTAAGAAAAAATAATGAAGAAATTAGATTCTCCCAAACTGGCTGTCCATGTCTTGGTGGTCCAGCATCGTTTACCTGGCCACAGGAAAGAATGTCAAAGAGAAATTAAAAACCCATTCATTATTTGTCTAATGAAAGTGTATCCAGGAAATAAGCCACAGTAAACTGATATTATTTAACATGTAAACAATGAACAATAACAAAGAGATTTAGTTGTCTGAAAAGGAATTCTCACAGTGAGAATTCCTGTGAAAATCATGTAAGATCCACAGAAAACCAAGAAATATGAATGAAAATGTCATATTTTGAAACAAAACAACAGGATATTCAAAGCCAGTCCTTGTGGTTTTTTTGTTTGTTTGTGACAGAGTCTCACTCTGTTGCCCAGGCCAGAGTGCAGTGGTGTGATCTCCATTCACTGCAACCTCCAACTCCCAAGTTCAAGCAATTCTCTTGCCTCAGCCTCCCGAGTAGCTGGGACTACAGGCATGTGCCACCATGCCCAGATAATTTTTGTATTTTTAGTAGAGACAGGGTTTCACCATGTTGGCCAGGATGGTCTCCATCTTTTGACCTCATGATCTGCCTGCCTTGGCCTCCCAAAGTGCTGGGAGCCACAGGCATGAGCCACCGCTCCTGGTCCAGTCCTTGTTTTTTGATGACATCTTAAGTCTTTACATCTTGGAGATTATCTGGAGAATCCTCTTGGCAAAACCAAGTACAGAGTTGTCATTTCTGAATGTGTTACTCAATTTTCTAAATTGCGATATATTCACTTTTCTCAAAGACTAACAGAAAATGAAATGAGGATTGTGAAAAAACCATCTCCAGCAGGTTCCAATGACCCCTTTGGACAAGAGTTCTCTGTAAAAGAAGGGAAAGACTAGTTTCTTTATTCCCATCTTGTATTAATACTGCAGTGGGGAGGCACAGTTAAGAACACCCAGTATCACAATAATTAAATACTCAAGCCAAATATGTCAGACTTTATTTCCACTGAAGAGAAGGTACACTGGTACATGGAGCAGAAAAGGTGTTTTGTTTTGGAGGCAAATGTTCAAATCAGCAGGTATGTTTCACCTTTTCTAATTCACAGTTTATAAAGATAACCTCTCCAGAATTATCTCCAATCAATACTCTTATTTACTGCCTCCTTTTGATTCTGATCATGAGTTTGAGAGACAACATCTATATTGTATTGTGAAACACATTCAATCTCTTTACCCACCCTCCAGGTCTCTTACGATGAAAAAGGTAATACCATCAAATATGGCATTGTAATCTCTTCTGGCCAGTCTATATTAAAATGGGTTCTTATTTTTCACTCATATCACACTACTTATATTTTAATTGTTAACTTCTCTAATATTGGAAAACATGACACATGTTCTTTTATGACTAATTTTTTATTAGTCATAATGAACCTGATAGAGTCATTGAAATCATCACATCCCTGCTCCCATATCACTTAAGTATATTTATCTCTATTCATGACTGGAAAAAAATATCTTCCTAACTTTGTCGCTATCAGACAACTCTCTGCTGAAGCTGTCAAGCCCTATTAAAATAATAGTCCTTTTATGCTGTAATCACCTCACACAAGATGGATAATCCTTCACCTTATATTTCTTTCTGTATTCAGTAACGGCGAGGGTGTTTAGACGCATTTTTAAAACAAAAGGCCAAAGGGAGCAAACTAAATGAATCTAAACAGAAAGGAAATATAGAATATAAAAATATTTTAATATCACTCAGATGAAAAGGAACCAAAATCATCAGTGAGCAGTTAACAGGTTGTTACTAAGTATTTGTGGTGTGCAGAGCATTGTACCATGTCATATGCAATCCTGTGGTAAATGTACTTATTTATGTATCCTACTGAACTACTCATTACAAGAACCATGCTGCTCATAGTGTGGTCAGCACATTGGGCCAGTCTCTGAGGAAACAGTTATGGAAATTGAGAGTTAGCATTATAAAACTTTTATATGAAATTAGGAAAATTTTATGACAGTTGAAATTAAAAAATGTTAATTTTTTTCTTTTCAGACCTAAAAAACATTAATTAATTTTTCTTTTCAAACCCTGAATGTAGCATTTCAAAAATAACTTTAAAACTATATTTTATACTTATTTTTGTATCTTTTTCTAGTAATTTATATATTTTATTAACTATTGGTCTAAGACAGAATGGGAAGAAAACTGGTTCCCACCGCAGATAGTGCAGAGGCACTGCCATGAGTATGGAATATTTCTTGGCCAGCTCTGTATTTCCTCATTGCATCCTGAAGTATAATAGAATCTACTTTGGGCAACCTATTACGTTCCTTTCATGGTTGATATATTCTATGTGTTATATAAATTTCACTATGTGTGTGTGTGTGTGTGTGTGTGTATATGTGTGTGTGTGTGTATATATATATATATATATATATATATATATATATATAAATACTATATATTCCAAGACAAAAAGCCAGCAAGATGACTAGAAAACCATGTTCCACCCATATTTATGTCTTGTTATTTCAATATCTTCACCTCTGCTAGTTAAATGAGCTCTGCTAATCAGCAATGTGGGCACCATCTGGTTAGAAATGCAGAATCTCAGGCCTACAGAATCAGAAGCAGCATTTTAACAAGATCCCTAGGTGATTTGTATGCACATTGAAGTTTGAGGTACCTTGGCTCAGACTAATGTGGAAGCTCCTAAAATGTCAAAAACATCATAGCTTCTAAGACTGTCACTAACATTAAAAACTTTGGTGCAACATGAAGCATATTTCATTAGTCAGGGCTTCAGCTCATTAAAAAAAATGCCAGTGTACACCTAAATCCCTGAGTTCAATTCATTTTGATTTTAAACTTATTCTCAGCATTCTTTTGCTACTTACATGGTGGAACTCCTTGAACAGAATAACAGACCATAGTGCCTGCCTGGAATTCAGACTGGAAAAGATTGAAATGTAAGTCACCCTGGGCTCTTTTAATTTAATATAGTCAAATTCAGTTATCCCATATTAACCCCAATCTAAGGTACATGGAGAACCTGGCCAGAAAATCTCTCTGGTCAACCTTCCTATCATATAGTGAAGAGAACCAGGACAGGGATTAAAAACCAGTGGAAAAAGCATTTGCTTGAGGAGCCCATAGCTTCAAATGTAAGTTGCAAAATATTCTAAATGAAAGAAGGGCCTGTTCTTTAATTGATTCATGCAGGAGTTGTTTCGTCTCCAAAATTACTATGAATTCTTAAGAAATCTTGCTAAATATTTTCCTATCAACCACTTCACTGTCTTGTCTGGCAACATCTATTGCTGGTCATCTCTTCTTCACTAAATCTATTCTTCGGATATGTTTCAAGTTGTTGCAATTTCCACATCTCTCAAAGAGGCAATGCAACACAGAGGAAAAATATATGGCCAGCTCTAGATACAGACAAACTTAGGTTAAAATTTCAGCTTTGCCACTTACAAACTGTGTTTCCTTGAGCAATTTGGGTAACCTTTATGAACCTCTGTGACTACGTGAATATCAAATTTACTGGGTTACGAGAATGGCAACAAACAACATAAGATGTTTGGTAAATGGTAGTTGTCACCATTATGCAATTACTGCATATGTATATAAATATGCTGTGTAATTGTGTGTGTATAAATTACATATGTGTATATGTGTTTGTGTGTGTGTGTGTGTGTGTGTGTATGCTTTGTTGACCACGATAAGCTTTGAACTCCATGAATTCTTTATCTCTAAATTTCCATTGACTTGCATAGTGCTTAAAATGATTGCTGAATGGAAATAGTATAAATGAAATAATGAATGAATGAATGAATGAAAAAATAGATAAACATTAATTGAACTAAATTGATAGAATACAATGCTGTCACCATTCTTGATTAGTCCCAAAGGCTATATATTCTGCCATGTGTTATTATCCTTATAGTTGTACTTGACCATAATGCATTTTTCACAGTTCCAGTTTCAATGTCAGCTTCTCCCCTTTGGGAAGGCTTTCTTGACTAAGTCAGTGTGCTTTTTTCTCCTCTTCTAGATCTGTGTAGTTCATATATCTGAAACACTGACTTCATCTCACTCATGAGAATTCAACAGTTATGCTAAAGATTGTGTTATGGGAGCTCCTAGAGGTAGGTGCGTTGCACCTTCTTGAAAATGAACTGCAATGCAAACAGATTTGCTTTGGGGACTTGGAATTGATATTCTTGACTTAGGTATGTCTGCCATCTTAGGAAACAGTAACACTCTCCTGAGAGTAAAATATCCTAAGATCATTACAGCCCAGTTCCTGTAGGTTATTTTAAACACTGACTCACAAGCTCAGAAAAATTTTGGCAAGATAGATTGGAATGAGAGTCAGAGTTTGTGTAGGATGTGGCTGTTTGAAAATCGGGAAGCTCATGTAAGACCTAAACATAGGGCAAAAAGGAAAAAAAAAAATAACCCACACATATAAATCCTGAAGGGATGAGGGAGTAGGATGGGGTGTTGAAGAAAGTATTGGCAAGAATGAAGAAAGTTTTTTTTTGTAAACAGATTCTTAGGAATGAGAGACACATACTGACTAAGCAAGCAGTAAAAAGGGGGTGATACACAAACAGCAAATGTGTGAAGAGAAAATAACTTGTAATGGGGGGAAATAATTGAATAAGGTCTTTTCTTTGCCACTGAAGCAGGTAGCTGTGCACATATTTTTAGAGAATTATACTTTATCTGACCCAGATAATTATACTTTATCTGGTCTTACACATTCCTTGTCATTATTTTCAAATATTAGTGAATGAAATATTTAAGCACTATCTGTAATTTATCTTTCTTGTCTCAATTTTTATTCTTCACCACATACTCTTCATCTCTGTGCCCTGGTACTATACCAATTTCAAATAATTGCCTTTCTTCAACTGACCACACCCTTTCATTTCCCTTGATACTGAAAGATAATTAAATGAGAAAATTTACATTTATTCCTTAATACAGCGCAAAGATCAGCAAACTTTTACTGTAAAGTGCTAGATAATAAATATTTTGTCTGTAATAAAGGACATATGGTCTCTGTTACAACTCTAACTGCTATTGTAGTGTGAAAACAGTCATAGACAATACACATACAATTGATTATAGCTGTGCTGCAATAAAGCCTGTTTACAAAAGCAGGCAGCAAACAGGCTGGATTTGGCACCAGATGGTAGTTTATTGACCCCTGCTATAGTGCCTGACACATTGTAAGTGCTCAATGAATATGAACTCTTTATCATCTACTGCTTTCCTCCTTTTGGAATGAGATTCTCCCTTCCATGTTTTCTCACTCTCTGGGAAACTCCTACTTATCTTTCTCATGTGAATCCATTTATCTGCATCTCCAGGCAGATTTTCCATGACAATTTTTGTTATAACCCAAAACTAAATCCCATTTTTGGCTGTTTTCAATGTACCAGGTACAAAACTCATTGCTTTAAAAACATCTTCATGCACTTTTTGAAATCCCCATGTGCTTGTTATGATCGTGTCCATTCTCACCGATAAGAAAATTATTGTGTAAGCTGGGCACGGTGGCTCAAGCCTGTAATCCCAGCACTTTGGGAGGCTGATGCTGGCGAATCAGAAGGTCAGGAGATCGAGACCATCCTGGCTAACATGGTGAAACCCCGTCTCTACTAAAAATAAAAAAAATTAGCCGGGCATGGTGGTGGGCGCCTGTAGTCCCAGCTACTTGGGAGGCTGAGGCAGGAGAATGGCGTGAACCCGGGAGGCGGAGCTTGCAGTGAGCTGAGATCGCACCACTGCACTCCAGCCTGGGTGACAGAGAGAGACTCCATCTCAAAAAAAAAAAAAAAAAAAAGTTCCACAAAACTAAAAAAAAAAAAAAACGAAAACTTGTGTAAAACGCTTAAATAATATACCCAAAATGACACAACTTGTAAATACTTTTTCCTCTGTGTACTTGCTGAAAATACAATGCATGCATTCAGTGATTACATTGCTTTTTAATTTGATGCAATCCCATTTGTCTATTTTTACTTTTGTTGTCTGTGCTTTTGGATTTATGTCCAAAATAATCATTGCCCAGAACAATGTCATGGAGCTTTCCCCCTATGTTTTCTTCTAGTTGGTTTCCAGTTTCAAATCTTACATAGAAGTCTTTAATTCATTTTAAGTATATTTTCATATGTGGTATAACATAAGATTCTAATTTTATTATTTATCATATGGATATCCAGTTGTCCAACATCATCCATGGAAGAGACTGTCCTTTCTCCACTGTGTATTCTCGGTACCTTTGTCAAAAATCAATGAACTGTAAAAATGTGGGTTTATTTCTGAGCTTTCCATGCCATTGGTCTATGTGTCTGTTTTGATGCCAATACCATGCTGTTTTGATTACTATAGCTTTGTATTAAATTTGGAAGTCAGGTAGTGTGATACTTCCAGTTCTGTTCTTTCTGTTCAAGACTGGTTATCTGGGTTCTTTTGTGGTTCTACATAAATTTTAAAATTATTTTTTCTCTTTCTATGAAAGATGTCATTGTTAGTCTGATAGGGGTTACGTTGAACCTATAGATTGCTTTGATTAGTATAAACATTTTAACACATTAATTCTTATAATCACTAAACATGGAATGAATGACTATGTCTTCAATTTATTTTGTCTATTTTTTATGGTTGTTAATGTACAGGTCTGGTATGCCTTTGGTTAAATTTATCCTAAGTATTGTAGTTTTTGTAGCTATTGTAAATAGGATTGTTTTATTCATTTATTTATTTTTCTAGAAATGAAATCAGTACATCCAAGAGATATCTGCACACCCGTTGATATTTATAACAGCCAAAATATGGAATCAACCTAAGTGTCCTTCAGTGGATGAATGAAAAAAGATAATATGGAATACTATTCAGCCTCAAAAAGAAAGAAATACTGTCATTAGTTATGACATGGATAAACCTGGAGGACATTATGTTAAGTGAATAAAGACTAGGCACAGAGAGACAAATTCTGCATGATTCCACTTATAACTGTTGAACTCATAGAAGTAGATGGTAGAATAGAAGTTACCGGGATCTAGGGATTGGGGAAAGGTATTGGAACGATATTGGTCTAGGTATACAAAATTTCAGGTACATAAAAGGAATAAGTTCAAGAGCTCTATTGTACAACATGGTTACTATACTAAATAACAATATATTGTATGTATTCTTGAAAATTGCTGACAGATTTTAAGTGTTCTTACCAAAAAAAAAGCAACTACACGAAGTAATGAATATGATAATTAGCTCAATTTAGTCATTTCAATATATATACGTATTTCAAAATATGTTGTGCACAAAATAGATGTACAATTTTATGTGTCAATTAAGATAAATAAATAAATGCCTTTAAAAAGGAAGGAAAAATATAGAAGAAAAATTTCCAGAAATTATAAAAGTCACATTTCTTCTTATTGACAAAGCATAAAAAACTTAAAGTAATTAAAATGAAAACAATCCACAAGAGATTTATTGCAGTACAATTTCAAAACCCAAAAACAAAGAGAATATTTCAGATACAATGAGAAAAATCTTATTATAAATAAATCAAAACAATTATACCAGTGCAGATTCATCAAGTGAAGAACTTAAAATTTAATGTAAAATAACATTTTCCAGTTGCTGAGAGAAAATAATTCTTAATCTAGAATTGTATTTCCTAACCAAAATATGACTGGAGAATGGAGCAAAAAAATTACCCCAGATATTAGGTATATGACTGTATAAAACTATAGCAATACAGTCTAATTTAGGAGTAAAAATTATTATAAAATACCTGAAATCTTGACCAAATATAATAAAAATAAAGGTAATAAGAAGATTGAAGTTTAGATGTTCATCATATTACTTTGAAGTAGAGTAACAAAATGTAATAAATTTAGACTTCGTTAAATTAAATGACCAGGCTCACATTCATATAATCAAATAAATTTTTAAAATAATAAACACAAATAAGTGTGTGTAACTTTTAAATTTGTAGAATGAGAAGAAAAATTAATTGTAAATCTCAATTCAATATAAAGCAAAAGGCAGGAATAAAGAAAAATGAAAAGCAGAACAAATAAACAAAATAAAATGACTATAAATAAATCAAAATTATCAGTAATTACAATAAGTATAATCAGATATGGTATTATATATATTTTATGTATTAATAATATTATTTAAAAGAGTTCATCAGATTAGATTTTTAAAGTCTAGCTATATGCCTATTATAGCCACGCTTTAGCATAAAGAGAAAGGAGTATTTAAATTAAACAAAATGGAAAAAAGGCCACAGGCAATTAATATGAAGTGTTTATACTGATATGAGAAAAAGTAAACTTTAAGGTAAAAAATAATATTGTTTGAACTAAAGAGGTTCAAATTGAAATTTAAAATTTGACTATCATAAGCAGGTACTGATTTAGGAAACAAGTATATAAGGCAAATAACCTACCAAAATTGCAAGACAATATATAAATCTTTTATCAACTTCAGAAAATTTAACATTTTTCTTTGAATAATTGATGAACCTTGTAGGAATGTAGTAGCTAATCTCAAAGACATATACTGAGCCCTGTACATAACAGTTTAAGAATATTTTTTCTTCTTAAGCAAAAATTCAAATTGCTTCCAAGCAATTTTTATTCTACAGTCAATGTCCTCTGAACATAATGTAATTATGATTGGATATCATTGTCAGAAACATAACTAAAGATAAGACATAAGCTAGAAATTAAGTCATATATTGTTAATAATATATAGTTAACAATGAGATTATAATGGAAATTAAATAAACAATAAAATAATTTATTCATTGCAAATTTTTGAGGAACTGCTAAAACTGAATTCATAGTCCTTTCACAGTAATGCTTATGTTTGAAAAAGCCAAAATTATTGAGGTATGAATGTAACAGCAGAAGCTAGAAAAGGAAAACAAGCAACCAAAATAAAATAGAAAAAAAGCATGGTAGATACAAAAATAAAGATACAAAAGAAGGTAATAATAAATTTATTGATGATTATTTGAAGCTGATAAAAATAGACAAATCTTTGTTAACCATGATCAAGAGAAAAACAGATAATGCATATAAATAATAATACATGAAAAAGGGACAAAATTGCAGAAACTGCTGTGATTTTTTTTAACTCACAAAGGACTATGCTAACATTTTTGCCAGTAAATTTGGAAACTTGGATGACATCTACAATAGCTAAGAAAAAAGAAACATCAAACTTATTTTTAAAGAGGCTTATGTGAGCCTATGAAGCTCTTAAATGTGAGACCTCAAACTATAAGAATTCTAGAAGAAAACCTAAGAAATACTATTATAGACATCAACCTTGGGAAAGAATTTCTGACTAAGCTCTCAAAAGCAATTGCAACAAAAACAAAAATTGACAACGGGGTCCTAATTAAACCAAAGAGCTTTGGTGAAGCAAAATAAACTATCAGCAGATTAAACAGACAGCATTTATAAAGATAAAGGAATATTTAAATTAAGGAGTGAGAGAAAATATTCACTAACTACACATCTGACAAAGGTTTAATATCCAGAATCTATAAGGAAGTTAAACAACTTAACAAGCAAAAACCAAATAACTCCGTTTAAAAATGGGCAAAAAACATGAACAGACACTTATCAAAAGAAGACTTACAAGCAACCAACAAATATATGAAAAAATGTTTTACATTACTAATTATGAGGAAAATGCAAATCAAAACCACCATGAGAGACCCTCTTACAATAGTCAGAATGGCTATTATTAAAATGTCAACAAACAGCAGATGCTGGTGAGGCTGTGGAGAAAAGGCAATGCTTATACACTGTTGGTGGGAATATAAATTCATTCGGCCTTTGTGAAAAGCAGTTTGGAGATGTTTCAAAGAATTTAGAACTACTGATACAACAGAGGCAGGAGGCAGAGAAACTCTAGGCAGACGGTGGCAGGTCCCTGACGAAGTCCCACCTTCAAGTCGAAAAGCCTGAAACCTGTGACCCAAAGTGAGAACTTATATCCCTGTTTTCCCACTCGACTGTTGCCTTTTTCTAAACTGCCTATGGACCACCCGAACGCCCGTCCTGTTCCTATAAAGACCCTTGGACTCAACTGGAGAGGAGCTGAGAAGTGGCTGGTCATCGGAGAGAAGCGACTTGACTTCAGAGGGATAGTTTGATGGCTTGACTTCAGAGAAGAGTCCCGCCGGAGACCACCAGACTTGAGGGGAAGATAACCTGCCCTTCCATGCCCTTTCCATTTTCCCTACTCGCTAAGAGCCACTTTCATTGTCCAGTAAAATCCTCCACATTCACCATCCTTCAATTCGTTCATGCAACATAATTTTTCCTGGGCACTAGACAAGAGCTTGGGAGCCATGAGTGTGGATACCCCAAAAAAGGCTATCATACTGGCCCTTTGCCCTCGATGGCAGAGGGCAGCTGCACCACATGACAAGGCAAAGGGCCCACTGAACTGTTAACACTTAAGCCATCCACGGATGGCCGAGCTAAAAGAGCACTGTAACATGCCCTTTGAGGTTTGGGGGTCTCAGGCACCCCAAGCTGGATGCTGCCATGGGCCGGCATGGAGTTTGCTCCTGCCGCTGCCTAAAAGTAGCCAGCTGGATCCTGTGCTAGTTCATCTACTTGCTCCCTCCCACAAGGGGTTGAGTGTGGCAAACCGAGTAAATGGAGTTTGTTCCTCCCAGAGCCTTAAAGTGCTCGCTCCAGTTCCTGCAGTCTTTCGCTCACATGCTCCCTCCTGCGAGGGTTAGACAGGGGCAGGCTGAGTAAATGAGGCGCCCTTGTCGTGAGTCCCATGAAGCAGTCAAGAAAATATCATGCTTCACTACTGTTTGACCCAGCAATCCAATTACTAGGCATATATTCAAAAATAAATAAATCATCTTAACAAAAAGATACATGCACTCCCATGTTCCTTGCAGCCCTATTTACCACAGCAAAGACATGAATCAACCTGGTTGACCCTCGAGTGTGGATTAAATAAAGAACATGTGGTACATATATGCCATGGAATTCTATGCAGCCATAAAAAAGAACAAAATCATTTATTTTGCAGCAACACACATACAACTGGAGGCCATTATCCTAGGCAAATGAATGCAGGAACAGAAAACCAAATATTGCATATTCTCACTTATAAGTGGGAGCTAACCACTGGGTACTCATGCACATAAAGATGGCAATGATAGAAACTGGGGACTATTAGAGGGGGTGGGGAAGGAAGGGAACAAGGTTTTCAAAGGTATTAGGTACTATGCTCAATACCTGGGTGATGGAATCATTCGTACACCAAACTTCAGCATCATGCAATATACTCAGTTAACAAATCTGTACATGTACTCCCTAAATCTAAAAGAAAATTTTAATTAAAAAGTATGTAAAGCTTATAAATTTAAAATACGTTTAATCAGTGGGAGAAAAAATAAACTATTGCAACAACGATTTCATATTATTTCAGTGCTGGGTTTTAGCAAACATTTGATAAAAATATATTTTCAATTTTATATAAAGATTTCCAAAGAATAAAAAAGAAGGAATATTGTCAAAATTACTTCATAATACTACAATAATCTTAATTGTAATGTAAGACAATAATAACATGATAAAAAATATAGACCAACAACATCCACTAAAAATTGACATGAAATCTTCTCTTTTTTTTTCTTTCTTTCTTTTTTTTTTTTTTTTTTTGAGATGGAATCTCACTCTGTCACGAGGCTGGAATGCAGTGGCATGATCTCGGCTCACTGCAACCTCTGCCTCCCAGGTTCAAGTGATTCTCCTGCCTCAGCCTCCCCAGTAGCCAGAAATACAAGCACACGCCACCACGCCCAGCTAGTTTTTGTATTTTTAGAGACAAAATTTCACCATGTTTGCCAGGAAGGTCTTGATCTCTTGACCTCGTGATCCGCCCGCCTGGCCTCCCAAAGGGCTGGGATTACAGGCGTGAGCCACTGCACCCAGCCAACGTGAAACCTTAAATATAATATTGCCCAGCAAAATTCAGCTATGGAATGAAATTATATCAATATCTATGTGTGTGTGTGTGTGTGTGTGTGTGTGTGTGTGTGTACAAATTTTGGCTTTTAACTAGAAATTGTATAATGTCATTCACCAAAGTATCAGTTTAAAAGAGACAAAAATATTTAGTCATGTCAATAGATTCAGAAAAATGATTAATACCCATTTATAATTTAAATTAAAATAATTCTTAATAAACAAATAGTGCAAGAGAACATTTTTAACTTCATAAATGGAAATTTCCCAATATCTCCACAAATATAATATTGATAGATAAAAATTTTAAAGCATTACCTTTAGATCCTGGAATCAGATAAGGATATTGTTATCACTATCTCTAGTCAACATTGTGCTAAGAGTTCTATCCAGGGTTATAAACATAAAAGTTCTAAGAATTGAAAATTGAAGGAATAAACTGTCATTCCACTCAGACATATGATAACCTACTTACAAGAAAATATTCATAAATACAATCATATATGTGATTAAGCTTTGCACTACAATTGCTTAATATGAAAACAATATTCAAAAACAATGATGGCTAAGGTGTGGAGATGCAGTTCTGTTACGTTCTGTTACGGCACCGTGAGCCCACTACTGCCCAACCCTCTCACTAACTACAGCTAAAAATCATGGACAAAATAAAAAAAAATTAAAACAATAACAACAACAACTACCTAGGACTAGGAAAATAAGTACAAGCAGATGGACTGTGAGGGAAATTTAGAACTCAAAGAAGTAATCCACATAAATTAAAATTTCCTACTCATTTTTTCTCTCCTGGCTTTGCCCTCAATGTGAATCCCAGTCCAAAGTAACACAGTGTCCTGGCATTCTAACTGTCTGATAAAAGACTCAAGTTTCTGATTAGAAGAATGAGAAAAAATGCGACCTCTGCAGGCAGAACCCTTTTTTAACTGCTGAGCTGCACATGGGACAGAACCCAACCTGTGTAACAATGGCTTAGATAACTGAACTGAGATTTGAACTATCATCCAGAGTGCGAGAAATGATTTGCTGTCTAAACCTAACCAGGCTGAGAAACAAAAACTTCTACGTTGTACAGAGGCATATGACAAGACCCCAGATCTACACAGCATAATCTTCACAATATCCAGGGCATGATCCAAAATTATTAATCATTCAGAGAACTAGGGATCTGATTTTCTAAAGCTAAGACCATCAAAGAATACCAACCCCCCAAAAATTTAGATAGAGAAACTATCAGACGATGACTTTAAACAACTATTGTAACTATGCTTCATGACATAAAAGAAAACCTAATTTTTAAACGAATGAAAAACTATCTAAATAGTCCTTTATTTATTTTTAAAATGAAGTTATTATCAAACCCTTTTCTCCCAAAACACTAGCCTCATATAATTTTAGCTAGTGAGCTCTATCAAGCACTCAGAGAAGAAATTACATTTTTTCAAAGCATGACAAAGACATATAAAAATTATAAATCCATATTCTTCACAAATTTAGATGGAAAAAATAATTTAAAATGTTAACATTTAATCCAATAATATATAGGACAATACATCATAAACAATTAAGGTTTATGAAAGGTTAGTTCAACATTAAAAATTAGTTCTGTAATGTAGCCTATCAATGGAATAAAGAAGAAACAATTATCATTTCAATAAGTGCATAAAAATTATTTGCAAAAGTTCAACAATTATCATGATTTTAAAAACGCAGCAAACCAGGAATTCCTCAAACCGACAAAAATCACCTGGAAAAAAAACTACAGTCAACACTATACTTAATGATAAACAACTGAAATGTTTGCCTTTGAGATTGGAAATAAGGTGAGAATTCCTGATTTTATCATTTAAATAAATAATCAGATTGAAAAGAAATAAGCAAAACTGTTTCTATAAAATAAGATAATCTAATTGTTTACATAGAAAATCTCAAGGAATCTATAAAACAATTATTAGAACTAATAAGCAAATTTAGGAAGTTCATAAGATGAAAAGTTAATAAACAAAAAGTAATTGTATTCACACACACACACACACACACACACACACACACACACATATGGACAACAGAACACTGAAAAACTTTTTAAAAAACATATAAAATACCTAAGAATAAATCTACCAAAAATGTCTAAGATTTCTACACTTAAAATTATAAAAGTTCACTGAGATAAAGAAGATCTAACTAAATAAAATGACTTAACATGGGTATGGATTGAAAGACCCAACAAAATTCCAATTACAATTCCATCAATTCCATCAGGAGTTTTTATAGAAATTGGCAAACTGGCCTGGCGCGGTGACTCACGCCTGTAACCCCAGCACTTTGGGAGCCCAAGGCGGGTGGATCACGAGGTCAGGAAATCGAGACCATCCTGGCTGACATGGTGAAACCCCGTCTCTACTAAAAATAAAAAAAAAAAAAATTGCTGGGCGTGGTGGCGGTTGCCTGTAGTCCCAGCTACTCGGGAGGCTGAGGCAGGAAAATGGCGTGAACCCAGGAGGCGGAGCTTGCAGTGAGCCGAGATCGTGCCACTGCACTCCAGCCTGGGCGACAGAGCGAGACTCCGCCTCAAAAAATAAAATAAAATAAAATAAAATAAAATAAAATAAAATAAAAAAATAAATAAATAGAAATTGGCAAAGTGATTCTAAATTTTATGTAAAAATGTAGAGTTCAGAATAAATAAACCAACTTTAAGAGGAACAAAGTTGGAGCACTTACTGTACCTGGAGTCAAGTTTTACTCTTAAAAGCTATAGTAATCAAGACATTTGGTATTCATACAAATACACATATAGATCAATGTTACAGAAAAGAGAAAGAAGAAATAAACCCATACATACTAATTTAACTAATTTTCAACAAAGATGTCAAGGCAATTGAATGGGGAAATATGTATTTTTCTGTTTTAGAGTCCCTTTTGAAGCTCTGTATTCTCTCCAGGTTTTTGCTAACCTTCAGCATGATTTTGAGAAGTATTTTTAACCATCTCCTCTATTATTGGAGCCTACATCTTTGCATTTACTATTAATAATTCCTCCCTACTTTTGGTGAAGTATGTATATTTTTAGGAGGAGTGTTTTATATATATATACGTATATATACTGTGTGTGTATATACACACACACACACACAAACACACATATACCCATATATTTGTTATATGGGTTTCTTTCTTGAAAGTTTAAATATCTCTAATTGTCCATCAAGCAAATTGTGGTATATCCACGTGATATATTATATGGTATATTCATATGACATCAACTATGCAGAAACAAAAATGATTGAAACTGAATAACATGAATGAATCTTAGATATTGTTGTGAAAAAAATGTGATAACAAAACATTCTATCTCTATTAAGTTCAAAACCAGGAAAACCTAATTTATCCTGATCAGAAATTTTATCAGTGATTCTCTGTGTCAGAGGTGGCATGGAAATGATCAGCTGCAGAGGGATGAAAGAGCACTTTCCAGGGGACAAAAATTCTCTACATCTTGACTAGGGTGCTGGCTACACAACTGTCTGCATTTTTAAAAGGCATTGACCTACATATTCAACCTGCTTAAATTTCATTATATGCAGATTATATCTCAATATAGTTGATTAAAAATTGTTTCAAAATGTTTCATTCTGGTATACAGATGTACACTTTTCTGGTTCTGTCCTACATACACACGTACATACAGACACACACATCTACACACACACATATATATATACATATATATTGTAAACTAAAAATCCTAAGTCATTGCTGACTCAGTGGACCCCTTATGGCCAAGGGGACCCCCAAAAAACCTTAAAAACCTAGTTCCCAGCCATATGGGATGACAGGTCAGTTGGGATTCATTATAACCCCTCCCTTTTATGGTTTAGGGACAACTGACCAAAATTAATGTTAAAATAAAGATCATAAAACCAACAGAACCTGCTCTTTTTTGCAATAAGATACAAAATTATAAACCAGACATTTTGGCAATAAGATACCAAATTATAACAGGCAAGAATTTAAGTCACACATTCTCTACACTTACAGAATAAACCATGTTCTAATTGCCACAAGGTCTTTCTTATTCTCTAGCAGCTAAACAAACACTGGCCTTGAGATAAGCAACATTAAAACAATTTGCAGCTCCATCAGATGTTCACTAACTGACCGCCAGTCCCTGCTCCACCAGCCACTAACACAGCTTTTATTGGACAAAAGACTGATTACAGTAACTTCCTACAGATAAACAGGACGCCAACCAAGGACTGGTTCTGGCCATTTTACAGAGATTGTGCACTTGCATGCCTTTGTGGCCTAAAACGATGTTGTGACATATAGGGTGATATGTTTTGGCTCTGTGTCCCCACCCAAATCTCCTCTCAAATTGTAATCCCACACTTTGAGGGAGGGACCTGGTTGAAGGTGACTGGATCATGGGGTCAGTTTCCCCCATGCTGTTCTGGTGATATTGAGGGAGTTCTCATGAGATTTGATGGTTTTAAAAGTGGCAGTTTTCCCTGTGATCTCTCTCTCCTGCCTCCACGTATAATGGCCTCGCTTCTCCTTTGCCTTCTGCCATGATTGCAAGTTTCTTGAAGCCTCCTCAGCCATGTGAAACTGTGAGTCAATTAAACCCCTTTTGTTTAGAAATTACCCAGTCTCAGGTAGTATATTTGTAGCAGTGTGAAAACAGACTAATACATAGGGCCTAATTGTAATACATTTAAATGTTAAGTCTACACCTGAAAGTAAACATGGGTTGTATGTTACATGCATGTTTTTTCAATATGCATGTGTCAGGACCACCTTTATGAATATTCATAGCTCCTCCTGTAACCTGTTGAGTATGTATGTTTAGCCAACCTGTTCAGCATAAAATTCCTATTCCAACCTTTTCTTCTTCAAAGTAACTGTTTCTGATCTTGGCTAGAGGCTGTTCCCCAGCCTGCAGGATGGCCACCTTGTAGACTGTAATCCTTCAGGAGAAATAAAGTTTCTCTCTCCTTTACAAATTTGTAGATCTTGATATTTTAAGTTGTTTTTTTTTTTCTTGTTTTCTATTGAGATGGCATCCCTCTGTGTCGCTCAGGCTGGAGTGCAGGGCACAATCATGTCTCACTGGAGCCTCAACCTCCCAGGCCCAAGCCATCCTCCCACCTCAGCCTCCTGAATAGCTAGGACTACAGGCATGTGCAACCACACTGAGCTAATTTTTTAAACTTATTATACAGATAGGGTCTCACTATGTTGCCCTGGCCTGTCTCAAATTCCTGAGCTCAAGTGATCTTCCCTGCTCAGCTTCCCAAAGTGCTGAGATTATGGACACACCCCTACACCTATCTGATCTGATTTTTAAAAATTAACGATATATAGTTATATAACTTTTTCTGCATATACATATATATGTAGAAAAGAACTAGAAAAAGTATATCTGTGCAGTAGAATGAAATTAATAATAATATGCACTTATTTTAGTGTGTACAATTTGATGTTTGTGTGTGTATGTATATATATGCACACACACACACACACACACACACACATATATATGTACACATAAAACTATGGCTACCAATCTAAATAATAATCATTTCTACTTCACCATGGTAGTAACATCATTAGTCTGTCCTAAATGTCTGTCTTTGTTTCTTTTTTGACCTGCACTGGTTTACTTCAAGGATATCTGAAACTACTTTTTCTCCTTTCCCCCTACACATGGACAGCAAATCCTATGCTCACTGGCTCTACCTTCTGCTTTGCTTGTTTCAGAGCTAGTCCATCAGGCTCTAAATTTTTAAACGTGTAAGTTTCAGAATCACAGAAATCTTAGAAGATATTGAACAGCTAAAGCTTTGAAGCAACGAGACTTTAGATCCTCTCTCCTCATTCCTATTTTCCTCATCATATCAACCTTTTTAAGAAGCAGAAGAATGATGAAAGAGATGGGGCCAACACTCTCAGAGGTGGGTTGTGGCAAAGCGTAATGTAGAATTTAGATTCTATATCTCTCAGCCCCTCTGCTCATTCCACCTCATCTGGCTTCAATCCCAGCTTCTTGTTCTTGTTTTATTTCCCTTCTGCTGTTTCTTTCTTTGAGTTGCATTTCTGGTGCCAGGTGAGAAAAACAGCTGAGCACTGTGGAGGCGGAAGATACAGAGAGCTCCATTGCAGCCACAGTGATGGATGGCATCGATAGAGAAAATCCCACAAAAGAGCTTGACTTTTCTCATGAATCTGCAGTTTCTTCCGAAAAAGTGAAATTTTATCAAATGGTAAAGTAAGACAACTGTTTCCTCCAGCAGTGACTTCTATATAGGTCAAAATGACACTGAATCGGACCTGAGACAAATTCCTCATAGAATAGGTCTTAGTTAAATTCTGATTTCAGTTTTTTAGTCTTTAGAATAGAGATTAGTTATGTATGATTAGTACTTTTAAAAGTTGTCTACATCTCAATATCTGGGAGGATGTGAAAAGATCATTGATTCACTTGTCAGCAATTATTTACTGCCTATTATGTGCTAGGCACATTGCTGGGCTCTAACATTGTTAATATGTGGGCCACAGAGCACTATAGCTAAATTCTGGTGTATGCGCCTCCGAGTTCTGGGAAATATTTCTTATTGGATTGACATTTCTTAAGAGGAAAATGGCACACAATTATTAACTATCATTAAGTATTGTTGCTAAAGCCAATATCTGAACATCTGCAAGATGAACATCTGCAAGATGACTGGCACGTGACAAGGACATCAGTGATGCTTCATGGTTTCTGGGTAATGTCTCAGAGGACTTATAGATGATCATATCTAGAGATCGCTTATCAACTTAGTGGAAATATTGACAGAAGCATGATGAAAAATATTGCATATATTTCTTAAAATGAAGTTATGTAGAAACAACAGTGAACTCTAAATGATAAACAGTAACTCTAGTTTTTACATGTTGACATTTCAAAAGCAACCTATTTGTTTAAACTTGTCTCATTTGAGCCTTCTAGCACATTTAACTCAAGTTGAAAATATCCTAACAGCCAAAGAAACATTAATCAAGAGGGCTAATTTATCTTGTGGACAAGTCTGACCCTGCTATTTGATGTACTAACAATTCTCTATAAGGATAGTTGCTACACAATATCCATTATGGCAGAAACCTGGCTACCAGAACCAATTTGCTCATTTGAATAAGATTTCAGAGCCTGAAATCATCTCGCCTGACCTATACTTTTTTTTAATTACACAGTTGAGACCCAGAAAAGTTATCTGTAGACTTCAGCCTTTGCAAAAAAATGGAAGGTGTGTATTTTCTAAGAAGGTGGTTGGGTTAGCAAACACACACCATAGATACAAATTGAGTTCTTGCTTTTTGTGCTTTCCTTCTTTCTCTTTCTTTTCTCTTCCTCTATCTCCATCTCTCTCTCCTTGTGTCCTTCTCCTCTCCTTTCTTTCCATCATAGCTTGTACCTTGTTTCAAAAATAACTTTTTGGCTTATATTTCAGTAGAACAGTATGAAAATGGTATCAGGACAACAAAATATATAAATGCAAAACACTACAGTTTGTGTCACCTAGGGTAGTTACAAATGTTACTAGAAAGAGATTTTCTATCATTTATGGCTATTATTTAAGATTGCATTTTGACATTTTTTTCAAATGCTAACAGCTTGCAAACCATTACTGTGTCAATAATATAAGCTGAATTTTAAAACACAGAAAAGAAAAAAAGGGGGCATTCACTGAGTTCTTTGGATCTCCCTTTAAAGCAAAAATAGACAAGAAATAAAGCAAGGCAGAAACTTCCTACAAATTTATAAGCAATTGGGGTCAGACTTTTATTAATGATACATAAGTGAGGTATTTCAGAATATTTTTATAAAACAGAGAAAACAAATTTTGAGACATGAATTCAAAAGCCTCCTGAAAAAATAAAACCAGATTATTTTGGTTTAGCTATCCACTCCTCTGCTAATACACACTACCAGCCCTACGCTGTATCTTTTCCTTCCTTCCTTCCTTCCTTCCTTCCTTCCTTCTTTCCTTCCTTCCTTCCTTCCTTCTTTCCTTTCATTCCTCCTCTCTCAATTTCTTGCTGTCACTCTTATTCTCCTTATAGTAGGAGATTTTAAGCTTTGTATCATTCTGTACTTCATACAGAAGCTGAGCATTATATAAATCTGTGAAATGCAGTTGATAAATATCAGCAAGATCCTTAGAGGTAACAAGATGGAATCAGTTCATCCCAAACACTTCAATGTCCAGCTTCTCAGGAAAATAATTGGGTTCTGACTTTGCAAATGAGCACCATCCCTAGTTATAATTGACTACTTCTTCCTAGCATAGATAAGCAGTCCAAGAATTTGAGATGATGCTCAGCATATGAGTGTTTCTTTGCCTATAGCACTAGGAAAGAAATTATAAGGCTTGGAAGTTATGACCCTTAATTTATAGACCCAGGCACCAAGTTAAGAGGTCAGCCACCTTGGAGTTATTAAAATCAAATATATCATTAAGGCAATCTCATACTCTTCCAACAGGTAACTTTAGTTGGCCCTGGAGAAAGAGAGAAGGTGGGAAAGAGAAAATGGAAAAGCAAAAGGAAGGAATATTAGCAAAGATAGCATAGGGGCACAGCACAAATTGAAATTAAAATTCCCAATTAATGCACAGGCATGATGTTAGAGTATATATGAAAGAGATAAATTGGATTATACATACTCTCACTGAAATTTAACACCCTCAATCAGAAGTACCTCTTCTTACCCCTTTGACATTTTCTACATTTCATAGTTTGCTATTCTCTTGGTTTTTCCACTTCATTATAATGTTTGAGGCATCTTTTTTGTTTAAAAAAAGAGAAAAGTATCTTTGAACTTCACCTTGAGCTTTTCATAGGAAAAATAAGAGAGAACTCAATGGATATGCTAAATAAGCACTGCTGGAGTGAGCAGCTTAAGGCTGTGCCCCCAAACTTCAACTGCATAAGCCTTTCTTCAGATAAATCACAAATTAATGCAGTTCTTTCTCAAGTGGATAAGCTTATGTCTATATTTTAATGTTATATATATTTTCTTTACCTTTATGAATTCGTTCTCTTTTTTAAAACAGAATAGAGTTTTTAATTCATTAACTTGATAAACTTTTAAAAATCATTTCTGAGTCTGGATCCCCGATGAGCTAATTCTCAATGCAAACATGCTTTTCCTAAACCCTTTTATTGAAGATTCAGGAATGTCTATGCAAGTGACACACTTTAGGGAGAGACAAGTCTCAGTTGCAAGCCTTGCCTTTTATTAATTATTTGAATTTAGATATGTTATTTAACTTTGTTAGGTACATTTTGTTCTCATCTATAATATGTAGTATTAAATCAGCTCACCTCATGGTGTTGCTATAAAGACTAACAAGGCAGCACCTCCGCATAGCAGTCATTAAAACCATAACCAGGCTTTCTAACCAGCTAACTTGTTGCACACATTTGATTCTAGTGCAATAATCTCAAATGGAGGTCCTCAGAGATAGCCTGATGGGAGTTGGATTCATAGATCTCAGAAGGGTGAGATGGATTCTTCTGCTAGGATCTGCTAGAGAAATTGCTACCATGCAGCCCAAGGCTTACCTATTTTATAAAACAAGAAACTATTAGGCAAACATTAGCACTTCAAGCTTTTCTAATATGTCAGAGAAGGAGACAAGTTTTTACTTCTTGACTTTAAGTGACCTACCCCATTTTTCCATCTCCATATCACATTCCTCAGAGTCTCAGTCTCTGTGTTATGTTGGCTTCTTTGCCTGGAAATTAATAAAAAAGAACATATCATTAAACTCAGCCTTCAAACTCCTTGATCTGTCTTCCTTTACTCAACAAACATTAGCTACCTACCACCCATCTGTACTCTGTAGAATTGAATAGTCTGTATAAGTTGTGTTTGGGCTTTATGACATACAATGTATTTAGGGAAAAACTGTCTTTTAATAGGACCCTTCTTTGGATGGAGTCCTAGTGTCAGTGAAGATTCAGTCCATGTTAGTACCCCAAGTAGGCTAGTAGTCTGGTACCCTTTAAACTTATATTCCATTAATACTTTAACATTTATTTATAGGAAAAGATACACGGTGTGTGGAGTATGAGGAGAGGTTAGCAAAGAAAGACCATTATTTATGGCTTTCAGGCTTTCTTTTATTATGCTGAGAAACTCAGCTCAGGTTCCAAAAGTTCAAACTCACTACAAATCATAAACGTGGAGCTGGTCATACCTAGTCTCCTCAGAAGAAAGTTTTAACAGTCCTTGTTCTCTGAATGTAATTTGGGTTGTCACTAACATCCTCCCAAAATAAGAAGCTTATCAAAATAGTCCTTCTAATCATTTAAGAGTATTCTTGAGAGGTCAATTTTGTTACATTTCCAGTATTTATTTGTGTGTGTCTCTATAAGAGATCTGCCATGTTTTAAAGTAAAATATATTGCCATCAAATGTTTTTGACTGTTTGACTAGTTGATCACTCTTATTAGCTGTGTTTGTAATATTATTAAGACATTAGTTGCTTTTTGCAATAATACAAAATTAAGAGCTGCCAACATTTCCTTGCTCAGTACCTAAGCCCTTAGATCCTCACAGCAATCAGAAATGAATTAGGAGAAGTGTTTTAGTTACTCTTGTAATTCAAGGCCTTTACATTCAATCAGAAAGCCTTACACAGTCACCCTGTTGGCCAATTCAGAATATTTTGAGAACAGTTCTCCATTCTTTTACTCCTATCAGAATCTCCCATTTTGCACCTTCCAATATTACAAAACTTTAAGATACAACACAGTTAAGGGGAGGCATGCAGTGTCCCATTTTACTATGGGTGTTAAAGTCTGAAGGATTGAAAGTCAGAATCAAGAATCACATTTGAAACATGGCCAGTTAAGAGGCTTGGGGTTTTCATGCACAACGCTTGCAAGAAGAACAAAAGACTACTTCAAAATGATTCGTAAGTTCAACACAGGATCTGTCAATAGAAATACTAGATGATCGCCTAACCCCATGAAGAAAAAGGGACAGGAAATTGGCAGCTGGCTCTATGAAATCTGCCTTCCTTTTGTAAGCCTTGAGGAAATCTTAGGAAGTGTTCAGAAGTTATGAGCTAGGTCAAAAGCAGTATAAACACTGTATTGGCTTTCAAGCACTTGTTCTAGGGTAGTCCACTCAAAGATGAGAAAACTAGAAAGAGTAATGATGTAATGAACATATTCTAAAACAAAAAAGAACATTTGCAGAGCAGAGATGTATTAAAACAATGTACTATATAAAATAGAAAATTATTTTAAATAAATATGCACCTACATGTGTTATTAATAAAACAACAAACAGTCTCGGTTTGGTTTTAAGTGAGCCTAATTAAATTGCACTCTTCTTTTCTTTCTTCATCTAGAAACAATTGAGAAGCAGACACAGAAGTCAAACTTTTTCAATAAGCTAAATTGGAAGAAAGGGCTTAGCACACGGTGTTTCCTAATCTTTCCTGCCAACCATTTATTTAAGCTCAGATCTTGGGAAGCCCATCTAAGGGCTTCCAAAGAGAAAATGCTACTTATCAAGAATCATGCCTTTCCTGTTGCAGAGTAGAAGTAAACAAAATCAAGAAATCTCCAATGCTCACACAATTTTAACAGGTTTGGCCAATACAACAGAGACGTGAAAACCAACAGATGTCCCCCACCAATCCAGGTAACTCATTCCTCCTCCATGGGAAGAAAAAAAGAATGGAGACAAGGTGGGGAAAGGAGTGAAATGGTATCAAGGAGAGCAGAGGAATAAGCATTCCATTATAATTGTCTTTTTTAACCAATTTGGAGAAGAAGGTTGCTATAGTTTGGATATTTGACCCTCCAAACCTCATGTTCAAAGTTGACCTACAGTGTGGGAGGTGGAGCCTAATGAGAGGTGTTTGGGTCAGCAGGTAAATCCCTCATGAACATCTTTGTGTCATTCTTGCAGGAATGAGTGAATTCTTGCTCTATCAGGACCTGTGAGACTTCCCTCAAGAGCTGGTTGTTAAAAAGAGCCTAGGACCTCTTCCCTCTCTTGCTTCCTCTCTTGCCTTGTGATCTTCACATCCTGACTCTCCTTCACCTTCCACTCTGAGTGGAAGTTTCCTGAGGCTCTCGCAAGAAGCAGATATCGGCACCATGCTTCTTTTACAGTCTTCATAGTCCTGAGAACAAGTAAGCCTCCTTTCTTTTTAAATGACCTAGCCATAGCTATTTCTTTATAGCAACTCAAATGGGCTAAAACAGAGGTCAATGGACTATCAGAATGTTCTTCCACCATTTTCATGAGATGGCTACCCCAAACCTGACCAGGGACAATTTTGGGTGTCCTCCTGGGGACTACTGGTAGGCAGAATGCATTTTGCCTCCAGGAAACTATAGAATGGGTTATTCAGTATGTATTAACTAAATTACCCACAATTCTACACTAAACTCAAAGATGAACAGTTACACAGAGTTTACTTCTTATCCCAAATTAGTTCTAGCCACATTCATCTTAAATGCTCTTAGAGGTTCTGTATAAGATTAATTGATAAAATAAGATCTTATTATAAAATTTCACACAACACAGAGATGCCCCAAAATACTAATTAAATCCTTTCATCAAATAAAATTACCAGGGATAAGCATATTCAGAGCTTTAAATCCCTTTGCCGTTGTAAATTCATGTCCAAAGGAAAATTATCTATCAGGTTTTTGTGAGTTAAAGTACAAAAGTAATTCAACATTCTTAAGTCATTGAAATGAATGAAAGTCTTTGCCATTTTAAAATTTCTTGTTTGATTGTATCCTAGCTAGATGGCTTCCTCATCCCTGAAACAAGTTGAAGTTTGGCTGTGGTCTGTCTCATCACTGTCTTCCACTGGAATAGACATATGTGTTAGTTGGCCAGGGATGTCATAAAATAATTCAACACACTGGTGGCTTAAGCAAAAATTATACTTTTTTCTCATAATTTTAAAGGCTAGAATTCCATGGTCAAATTGTTGGCAGGTTTGGTTTCTTCTGAGGCTTTTCTCTTTCTCACCGTGTCCTCACATGGTCATCCCTCTGTCTCTGCACTTGTCCTTTGTGTGTTCAAATTTCTTCTTTCTGTAAAGGGTCAGCCATATTGGATTAGGGTCCACTCTAAAGACCTCATTTTAACTTAATAACCTCTTAAAACCTTATCTACAAGTTCATACATGCTCAGGTACTGGGTGTCATAACTTCAACATATCAATTTTAGGGGAACACATTTTATGCCCGCAGGAGTGTCATCTGTCAAGATTCTGGAAATTTAAATAATTCTATGCCAACTCTGATGGATTCAAAGTGATCTGAAGACAGACAAAATGGATGCCCCAACTCCCAGAAAATTAAAAAAAAAAAAGCAAGGAAACACCTATAGCAGTTGATTCAGGATGTGTTTTATTTTATTCTTGAAATTAAGGATTTACTATTGCCGAGGTCCGTTGAAGGGACTCAGTGGTGGCTGACGGAAAGAGGCAGGCAGAGAAACCCTTCCTTGTATTAGGTTTTCTAAAATGCCAGTCAACTTAAGTCTCCCTGGAGACTATGGCCTTGAGGTTATTTTCAACAGGGAGAAATCTCCTATAAGTAGTTTATTGCCATTTGTTTGCCATTTGTCTAGGGGAAAATTCCAATTATATATAGTATCTCTTCATGCAGAGTGACCTTCAAGAGAATTATACTTTATTAGCCCTTAACATTCGCAAAAGTGGCAGCTACTTTTTGAGCTACTGTTTATTCTCATTCAGAATATTAAAAATCTCTTGACTTCCACTTTCTCTTTGGTCCCCATATTTCTGGCACCTCCATGGTAAATTGAGGGAGCCTCTACCTGGCAGAAGCGTCTGCAGATTCTTTTGTGAGTGCACATTTTATACCTGTGCCAGCAGTTTGTGCCTCTTGCTATAATCAGTTAAGCCTAAGAAAGCTGTTTGCTAGGGAGTTTCCAAACTGCTGTTGTTGCCTTGGAAGCTAGAGTCCTCCGGAGGACCGACATTTCTGCTTATGCTTCTCAGTTGTATCTCTCCAGCTTTTGAATGTTTCAAACAGTGAACAGCATTTGCTTTTTGCTACAACTTTTTCTTAAGTAGTGGCACATGCCTCTAGTATTCTGCTTTCTTCTTCTATCAGTCTGCACTTTCCGAAAGTTTACCCACTTGACTTTCAAAGAGTTGACCCGTTTATTTGGTTTCTTTTTATCTTTATTTTATATCTGGCTAGAGCTCTTTGCTAGATGTGAGTGTCTTTTTTTTTATTATTACTTTTCCTTTGCTCTCTATCGCCAATTTTGTTTTTCTTTAGATTTATTTTTCAGTAAGCTCTAGTAAAATTTCACAATAAGTGTTATGAAACTAGTAAGTTCTCAGTCTGTCAAAAACACCTATAATTCCCCATATTGAATTGAATCATCCTGTCTGATGAGTAGTCTCCTGTCTGATAGCAAATAACCTAGATTTAGTGTCAGACAAAACGTTCTATAAGTATTAAAGGAGGGAGATGAGTTTGTTAACAAAACAAAATCAAGCTGATCACATATTTCTCCAGTTCACAAAGTGAATGGAGGATGTGCACATGCTTTCAAAAGACGTAGGGTTCAACTCAGAGTCTACATTGAGCAGAAGTTCATTTGTTAAGACATTCTCACTTATTCAAGAGCCCAGTAACTTTGCTGCCCATATGGACCTCAGAAAACATTGATTCAAAGAGCTACTTAAGTCAACCTAAAGAAGATAAAGTAAAACACTGAGTTGAGTAGTAAAACACCAGAAGAGTGCGATGGGTACTATAGCAGGTAAATATATATGATTTAGGGACATACAAAACCCAAAATTTTTTTGCAGGAAAGCATGCCAAATGAAAATAAAATAAAGCAAAACATAACTTTGACATTTTCTAGGGGTTTAACTCCAAAATATATGAGATTTCAGGATATGGTGGTAAGAGGTGATAATAATATATTAACAATCAAAATGTTCATATATAATAAGGAAGCACCACAGTCATTGGATTATTCCCTAGTTTTACAAAAAGGCTAAACTATGATTAGATTAGATTTTAAAAGTAAATATAATTACCAGTAAAGTGTTCAAACAGCACATAAAACTAAAAAAACAAGGAAAATAATCAACCTATGAAGTCGATCTTGAAAAATAAATATGTTTTCTGTATGTTCTAGCATTCTGTAATGTGTATGTGTTAATTTTAAAGGCAGTGGAAAAAAGTTATAAAAATGTGAGTGGATAATTACAATAGGTATAATTCATAGATAAGCTAAAAAGAAAATAAAAACTATATATAGTTTTCTTATGGAAACCACTTTAAACTTCTTGCTTCCAGGCAAGTGTTGGTGCAGGATAACTTTAGAGGCTGCCAGTGTAACTAACCTTCTGCTGATCACTCCATTCAAGCTGCTCAAATAGTCCTTCCAAGGTCACAGGCCAGCGACAGCAGGGATGACTAACAAAAACCTGAAATGCATAGTATGCAAGAAGGAGTGTTGTAAGAACTGTGTAGGTGAGATAATTCTGCTGAACTCCAAATGCTCCAATTAGACAAGGGGATTTCATGTATTTTGGCGGAATTCTCAGTCTTCAGGTGATATTGAAATGGAGGCTGTAAGGTTTAGGTTTTAATAATACAGGTTTCAAAACCAGGCAGCAACACATACTAGCCATGTAAACTTGAGCTATTTAATTTGCCTGGTTGTTGCTTAGTCCTTCTTTGAAAATTAAAATTCTGTTCTCTGGAAATAGTGATTTAGGTTGTTGTAATTCTGAGTGGATTAAATGAGATAATACACAGAAAGGTTTAGAGGTAAAGATACATAATGAATAGAGTTAGTGGTTAGCAAAGTGACTTCAGAGGCACATTTTGTGGATTTTTATCTCAGTTCCATCACTTTGTTAAGCAACCGAATCTTTCTGTGCTTCAGCTTCCCCATCTGCAATATAGCAATAGTAGTAGTACAACTATGGAGAGTTATTTTGAAGCTAAATGAGTTTATACATAGTAAGGCTTAGAAGAATGCCTGACATTTGATGAGCTTTTAATAAAAATGTCAGAAATCTTTTTGTCACTATTTTATAGATAAGAAAACTGAGGCACAGAGGAGTTAAGTAGTTTGCCTAACTAGTCACTAACAAGTTAAAAGAGCTTACTTTCAAACCCAGGCATTCAGGCTTTGCAGTTTGCATTCCTAACCACTGCATGGAGTTCATTCAATACATAGTGGGTTTTTATTGTTATTAGTTAAGTTAAAGGTGACATATTAGGCTGATCTCAAAACATGTTCCACGAACTAGTAAGGAGAGGGTAAAGGCATGCTTATTTCTTATATAATAAACAATTCTCCAATTTATATATATATTACCATATTTAATTCTTCATCTCTATCATGCATGTAGTATGATTTCCCATAAGGAAATTGAGCCTGAGGGAAGACATGCCTTAATTATGGATGGAATAACATTAGAATTCAAATCTGCCTAACCTCAAAGCCTGAGTCTTGTGATTATACAATACTGCTTCCAATATCTTGATATTTGCTCTAATAATGTTCAGTGTGTCCCTGGGACAGTTACCATACTCAGAATCTAGGTTTGCCCTAGAAAATGAACATTCCCGTTGCCTTGGTTTTCCTGCAAGTCTTAATCTCTGAGAAAGCCAAAATAGATAATCAAGAGATAATATAAAGTGAAGTGAACAGAACTTCATTAACCTTATCTGCACAAAAGAACGTTTTCTAATGTGAAAATGAAAGAATCAAGATGGAGTCACTAATGTTAAGAAAACTTTGACAAATAGAGCCAGGGAACGCCATGAAGAGAAGGTTCTCACACTTGTATGCCTGATAATAAAACAAATTCTACAAAAATCACAACCTTGAACAAAGGTTTGATTTGTAACCTTGCACAAACTTACTTAAAACAATACTTATGCATGGAAATCTTCTCAACAATTGCCTGTCCAGCCTCAAGCTGTAATTGATTTACGTAGCTACGGATAATTACTACAATTATGCACTTCTCATTTTTTTTCCTTCAAAAACCTTTGCCTTCCTTTACCTCCCTGACTATGCACATAGTTGATAATGGCATACATATCCCCATTGCAATACTCTATTCCCAAATAAACATCTTTTCCTCTAGAGAGTCTCTCTCTGTTTGTTATTCAGATTGACACTAGGAAATCTATCACGGGCTCGTGATAAAAGTAATACAATAATTCTCATCTTCAAAGAACTTTGATATTGCTAAGATGTTCTACTTGGCAGAAAACATTGATATCCCCTCCATTTTTTTTTTTCTAGAATCTAAATCCTAGGATTCCTTGACATTCTGTTACTGAGAGTCTGCAGTCTCAAGACTTTAAGGATAATAGTTCCAAAGGAATGTTATCTGTACGTTTTTTCTGAGTAAACACTTCCATTTCAAGCAAAACATTTGGGATTCTATTTGTTGGCTGTTTCTCCAGCTTCCATTTCCCTCCCCCTTTTTTTTTCTGCCATCAGCGCTTTTAATTTCCTTTTGGTAAATTACTTTTCTACCATTGTGTTACAGCCTTGCTATTTGGTGGAAATGACCTCACTCTTAGCATCAGGGGTGTGGCTGATTGGCTTAACCTAATCTATGCCCCACCCCTTCTGGCATTTATTCCTTCTAGCCACAATAATTGGCTCAGGAATTGATACATGATCCAATTGGGGCTAATGAAAGAGACTGAATCCAAAAACATAAGCAGAAGCCTGCTTGGGTCCTCCTCTCTCATTGCTTGGAGTCATACTGGTGAGTATAGGATAAATTCTGGAGCCTGGAATATGAAAACTGACTGTCAACACATGGTAGAGTTGTCACTGAGCTGCTGCCTCCAGCTTCAGTAGGGACCAGTTCTATCTCTAAACTGTTTCAGTTTTGTGATGCAATAAATTCCACTTACTGCTGCTGTGGTTTAGATTGTATTTCTGTTACTTAGAGTTGTAGAGAGTCCTAAGCAATAGCATGTTTCATCAGGGAAAACCCTACCAGATCCAGTAACCCCTAAAATCCTAATGGTTCTTATGGAAAAGTAAATCAAACACACAAATTAGAAATGCAATGTCTTCTCTCACAGTGTAAGAAGCACATTTAGTGATTTTCAAAAGTCCTCTTAGTTTCTGCAGCAAATGTTTAATGGACTTTTTAATCTACTTCTTATTGTAACATAGCCATATGTAGCTCCAGGGTAGACTGCCTCACACGTCAGGTATTATGTTACCAACATCATGTTACAGGGGAATACTGTGTGACTTCTTTTCTTGTATTAGAGAGTCTACTCAAAATACTGGCCTTATGATGATTCCATTGTGAATCCATGGCATCATATTGCTATTCTGATCTAGTGGTGTAATAACAGGGTAAAATAGTGCCACATAGAAAGGGTAAGCTCCAAGCATGGAGTGTGTGGTAGCCAATATGACACTACACTAAACTTGGAAAAACTATTGGATTTAGGCCTGTGTGAGTTGCTAAAGAAAGAGACAAATATTCTGAATATTATTGGATGCAGTAAAAATTATTATGCTTTTGAATTTGATTTTCAACTTTTAGAAAAGTGTGAAAGCTCATATTTGAGTAGTATCTACTATATATGCACACATTACATAGGAGGATTCTATATGTAATTGTATATTTATATAGATGAATATATATCTCTCTTTGTCTCTTGCTATATGTGTGTGTGCACGTTTGTGTGTGTGTGTATGGTGTGTAAGAATACATATATATTTATGTATATATACACATACACATCATATATGTATATATGTAGGCCTTGTAACTTTTCCTTATTGATATACCTTTTTCTTTCTAAAATATGAACAAAACAGAACAAAACAAAACAAAACAAAACAAAAAAACACCAAACACTGAAACTGAGATCCTGAGTGGTGTGAGGCCATTCAGAACTCCTCAATCCACCCCTCATAGCAATGGTAATGGTGTAGTCAGGGATCCAGGAAATTTTAGTCTAGTATGTGAAGAAAACTCTGAATCTCAAGATATCAGTAAAATAAATATGCTCTTATACACTTGAATATTGCTGAAAAACATGGTTAAATTTAATGGTTTGTTAGAAATAAAGCAGTCAAGGCCTGAGAAATGAAAGTTTATGGCTGAGCACAGGCAGTCCATGGTTCTCAACGGGCCAGGCAATCAATGCGCTTTCTCAAATCACATGCTTCCCTTCTCCTTTTGGCACCCAAGGACAGTATTGCTGCCATGGCTGCCCTTGGGACTAGGAAAATAGCTATTTGCAACTCCGAAGAAAGAAGATCATTGATTCCAGTTGACACTGACAAATGGAAATTATGCTGTTTGCTATATATTTGAAAGAGATCTGGCTTTGGAACCAGAGACACTGGAATTAAATCCTGCACAGGTATCTTAGCTGCTTAGCTTTGGGCGAGTTATTTAACTTTCAAATGCCTACATTTTCACATTTGTTAAATGCATATAATAAAATTTGGTAGGAGGATTACATATAACATGAATGAAACCACTTAGTATGCTTATTGAAGGGTATGAGGATCACTTAGTGGGTGAGTCCATGGTTTAGTTGTACAATGCTTAAGGCTACTGGGCCCTCTGCAGATTCCTAGCACAAGGAAGCTATTAATTCAAGTGAAAAGAAGAAACTAATAAAAACAATTTTTTACAAAATGTGGTGGATGGGCTGACTGGAGTATTGTCCAGCTAGACCTAAAAATATGAAATTATACTTCAAAACAGTATGAATTTCCTCTCATTCTTTAATTAGAACTGTTTTCCAATTCATATCTAAGCACTTTGATATTTTTTTCAGCTTAAACATTTTTTTTTTCTGTCCTAGCTAGAAGAATGTTTCAAAGAGGCATAGGGCTTATTTAGTGTAGTACAAAACATTGTGGAAGAAATCCGAGAGCAGGAAGTCAGAAAATATTTGTTCCAAAGCTGCCTTTATCAGTTCTAAATACTTCAGTTTCCTCATCTAGGCAATAAAATGATTTTTCAGTCCCAGCCAGGTATAAGGTCCTATGTTACCCCAGGTCACCCCATAAAATGCTAGCTTCATTCACTTCTATTTAACAAGAAGGACTTTTTGAAGAATCATTTTAGCTTCATTATTCAAAAAGAACAAACTAGTATCTGCACATGTCATCAATGAAGGGTTGTTTCTAGTCTTTGCCATAATTCACACTGTTACTTCCAAAATGTAATCACTATTAATTATAATCCTGACTCAAAATAGTAATAACAGCTAACTTTCTTGAGCACTTTTTTCTTGCACCAGAAACTGTTCTTATCAATTTACATATATTAACCAGTTCAAACTTCACAAGTCTAATCGGATAGGTTTTATTATTATAATTGTCCTCACTTTAAAGGTGACACATGTACATGGGCAAAGAGAAGTAAAGTCAGTTGTTCATATTTTCTTCTCTAGTAAATATTGGAGCTGGAACTGGAACCCAGACCGTCTATTTCCTGAGCCTAGACATTTATTGACTACACAACACAGCAAAATGTAATTGTTGCTCCACCATTTTACCCATGTGCCCTTTTTGCAATACTAAGTAGATTCGCACAATATGTTATAAGTGAAATATAAAATTACATAATGCAGATTGTGTCTCCCTCTCAATACTTTTTTGCAACAAAATGATCAATATTAGGGGCAGTAGGGATATGTGAGTCTACATTATAATAGGACTATTAAACAGGAAAATTATAAAATTGATAAAAATAAGCATTGTGATTTTAATAAAGTTTTTAAAAAAATAATGGGAATTATGAAACTAACCAAACACCGGAGTACAGAAAGTTCGAGACAATAAAAATATAGGAACTAAAAAATAAATATTAAAATACAAAGAATTAAATGTGTCATGTACATGTTTTAGCTGAATCAAAGAGTAAACACAAAACCATTTCCAAAGCACAAAATAATTTTCAGTTTTGCCAATTGTTGAATTTTTAAATCCTGTGCAATTTATTCTACTAATTGTTTTGAAAGTAAAATATGAAGTATTGATATATATTTTTTCATATTTGCAAAAAAGCTAACTGCCTTCCTGGAGGGAATGGAATTGGGTTATTCCTCATCTTTCCTTTATGTTTTAAATATATTCTCTCTTTTGTCGCCAACTTTGGACTGAATTATTCTGTTCTTTTATCCAGTATGTCAAATTCTCATTCTCTTACAGAGGAACAAATAAGCTAAACTAATTAATTTCCTGTAATGAAAAGGAGTGTGTTTTCTGACTCTTTTTACACATCAACTATTCACTTAACGTTTGCCACGTCTACAAAAAGGGAATGACAACAAGAATAGCCATAGGGTAATAAAAGTCTACTTATACAAACAAACAAACAAACAAAATAAAAACAGCTAAAAAATTAAAAAGCAAAAGAATAAATTTTTAGATTATTCTTTTCTTTCTGCCTTTGCACGTTTTTTAATTTTTCAAAGTAGAAGGAAAGAGAGAAGAGCAAAAAAGGGAAAGTGTTGTATAGTTATGAGAGAAAATGGGCAGGGAATATTTTTCCTAAATTATTTCTACTTCTCACTTATGTTCTCCATTCTCGGCTTTTGTTTTTTCTCCCCAGGCACCTGGTCTCTGTTGGAGAGGCAACTCAATGACTCCCAGGAATCCAATGCCACATGCTAGTTTTATAATTAGAGTCCACATTATAATTACCCTCACGTATATAATCAGTTCCTGAACATCTTCAATCACTCAAGCTCTATCTTTGAGTGATAAGGCAGGAATAAGTTTTGTCTTGCTTTTTTTTTTGTTGTTTTTTTTTTGAGACGGAGTCTCGCTCCGTCTCCCAGGCTGGTTTGCAGTGGCGAGCTCTTGGCTAACTGCAAGCTCCGCTTCCCGGGTTCATGCCATGCTCCTGCCTCAGCCTCCATTTCATAAGACAGACAGTGGATGTATATTTATTGTTTTGCAAAATCAGATGCTATTTCACTATAACACAATTAGTAATTCATAAACAAATATTACTGAGTATCTTATGTGACTACAAAATATGGCAGAGCCTTGCTACCCAAGGCACACTGGGTATAATATATTTCCTGATGATGTACTACCGAAATTCAAATTTTGCCTGAATAAAGTAACATTGCAAATGAAAAAGCATGTCACATATGCACATTTTTGCTTGATTAATGATTTATACTTCTTAAGAAAACTGAAAGACCACAGTAATAAAGTATCAAAAATATGAGGAGTATTTATGTAGTGAACCCAATTTATGTAAGTATGGGTCTGCCCTGCATATGTGCACTTTTGGTATAATTAGGCAGAATTCTTGAAGTTCCACAAGTGAATCTGAGCATTGGGGATGCTATTTTTAGCACAAATCTGCTAACTGACTGATTATAACCAGACTTCATTAAGAATCATATTTCACAAGAGAGGAAATGTTATCAACACATTATAATTTAGATTCAGATAAAACTCCCTGCATCAATTATCAGCACAAATATCTTCCCAAACCACTTTTTTGTATGCAAACAAATGAAATTCCTGAGAGTAAATGATTCCCAATGTCATTCACATTATTAGGATGATGTTCATCTTACACAAACTTTGAAATGGACTCAATATTTAAGTTAGATGAGAATACTGCATTACTGGTCCTTGAAACGATATTACAGAGTGGGTCAGAATGTGGCAGCAAGATTAAACTATGTGCATTCAAATCTCTGTTCAATATCTTTTCCTTTGTATAAACTTAATCTCTCTCATCTATAAAAGGATTATGATAAAGACATTTCATACCCCCTAAGATGTGGGAAAATTAAATAATATATGGATACATGGAAATGCATTCTATGAGAATATATGGAAAGTGTTTGAAACAGAAGTAAGCCTTCAATACAGTTTTATCTATTATTAACTATATTTTTTCCACTCAACTAGGTGAAAGAAAAGACCTGAAAATGAATTAGGGAGTAGAAGGTGAGAGGTAAAAGTTTGGAGATAAAAAGCATAAGTATATTTTCTGAAGGTCAAAATATCTTTCTTTAATCATTGGGCAGACTTTGGTTTATTGATATCTTAGGATCTTGAAAAAACACTTTCTAAGACAGCAAGATGAAAAACCCCTGGCTGGCAAGAACAGACGGGTGGTGTCAGGAGTGAAAAAGGGAGAACAGGAGGGCATTTTCACTGATGCGACAAGTTTGTTTGCAACATAAGGTATTTAACTTTAGGCTCATATTTTAAGCTCTATTTTATACATTTATTTAACAGGCTAGCAGATTGTAGCGCAAATTCACCTTTTGTGCTTTCTTTCATATAATGAGCTTTCCAAACCATATTATAATGTCATCTACTAAAAGTGCTTTTTCCCTTTCAAATGTAGATTTCAAGATAAATGGGAACTTTTGCCACAGATGTTAACATCATAAATGAGAAAGAAGAAAACATATTTTTCTCTGTTTTCTCTTGAGTACGGTAAAAAATAAATTTAAAATGGCTTGCCTAAGGACCACATCAATAAACAATATTGCCAGGCAGCCTGGATTTAAAGCCCTTCCTAGCTGTGTGATCTTGATCAAACTATTTAATCTTTCTAGACTAGTTTTCTACCTGGATAGTGGGGATTATAATAGTCCTAGCTTACAGAATCTTTGGAAATTTTAAATGATTTCATATAGAGAAAAATTTTATAAAGCAATTTTAAATATAACTACCCATGATTTTTGGCCATTCTATTATTATCAGTAATTGATTTCTGCTGGAATAAGTCTTATCGAATTGTTTCTTATAAAGGATCTTACAAATGTACTTAATATTCCAAATATAACTAAGGAAAGACCAGACACACACATTTGTAAAGATGGCTATCCATTCCATTTAACACTCCAGGGAATCTACACTATGGTCAGGATAGCCACACTATTTTAAAAATAATAAAATATATCAGCTACCCCTCTTTGAAACAGTGGTGTTCATACCTCTAATTGTGAATATGATTGGGCACTTTTATGAGTAACATTCCATAAGCTTGTCTTGTGTCTCACCATCTTGACCTTAATTAAAGTCAAGTCTTCTGCTACTGGGCAAACCCAGGTGTCCTGAATGCCTTCACAAGTACAGAAATAGACAGAATGATTTATGTAGCTGTCTTGCTGGAAAACTACCAAACTATGTTAATAATAAAGATGCTCACTTGGAAAAACTCAATATTTGCCCCAATCGATGTAAACCCTTACTTGTAAGGCTTGAAGTAACTGGAATGCTGGTAGGATAGAAGATATGGAAGCTAACTTGCACTGAAAAGCGTTTTTTCTGGGATCCCCTTAGGTGCTTCACCTGTTCAGCCCCATATGACATGGCTTTAGCACCTGTAAATTAGTTTAGCTTATCGGCACCTCAACAAGTTAAGACGATGACTGAATCATGAGTCAGGATGCCTGGGGCAGAAGTGTCCAGGGTCTCTCTCACACTTGAAAATATAATACAATAAAAATCATTTGGTACCTCATAGGCCCTTAAGTTTATATTTTTATGTTTTATTCCTCTGCATCTGAGGAAAGAAACATCTTTTGTGATAAGAAAACTGAGTTTATATAACATGATCTATTTTATATTTTCTGAAACTAGAAACACCATTTAGCTATGATATATTCTAAATAGGATATATCCGAAGTAAGGAGTACTAAATGGTGTTCTTTCTTTCTCTTTTTTTTTTTTTTTTTGACAGAGTCTCACTCTGTCGCCCAGGCTGGAGTGCAGTGGTGCGATCTAGGCTCACTGCAACCTCCGCCTCCAGGGTTCACACCATTCTCCTGCCTCAGCCTCCCGAGTACCTGGGACTACAGGTGCTGCGACCATGCCTGGCTAATTTTTTGTATTTTTTGTAGAGATGGGGTTTCACTGTGTTAGCCAGGATGGTCTCAATCTCCTGACCTCGTGACCCACCCTCCTTGGCCTCCCAAAGTGCTGGGACTACAGGCGTGAGCCACTGTGTTCTTAATCCACGTGCCCATGGTTCAGGAAAGCATGGGCTCCAACAATTTAGCAGACAAAGTTTTCTATTCAAGTGTCTTCCTTTTAGACATGACATTGTTTTGCATAGATAAAACTTTCTCTGCCTCACCTTCTAAACTAGAAGTTCCTGGAAGCCAAAACAAGGTTTGGTTGTTTGTTTTTTTTCCTGTTCCCCAGTTTTTAGCATAGGACCTTAATTTCAACAATTAATTTGTAAAACAATTAATAAATCAATTGACAAAATGATTTACAAAGTTCTGAAATCTCTCTTCTGTACAATCCTGCTTAGATGATATGATCTGTTAGTAGTATTTCTTAAGGATTGGATAATACAACTTTCCAACTAAAATCTTCCAGAACAATCCAGATTTTAAATATACTATATTGTTGCCACATGGACTGTCAGTTTCTGGTTTGAGAAATACAAACATAGTGGATACACTTCATATAACGGGCAAGGAAAACTCTGTAACCTCAAAACCCCTCAACCATCCTTTAAGCAACATGACCTGAAAGGAAGAGTATGGCCTTTGGGATCCAAGTGACCTAGGTTTAAATGCACATTCTGCTCTTTACTGGAGGTTTTTCCAGGATTTTTTTTACGTGTTTCTTACTGGCTTTGGAAAACACTGTTCCATCAAACACCTACATGGAAACCAAATATAATAACAGAAAAAGACAGAACGTTTCTCCTTGGAGCAGAGTGAAGGGCCAGCTCCCAGTTCACTTGGTTATCCCTCTCTACCATGCCCAACTCAACACTCCAAATCCCACTGGGCTCAGGAAGGCAGAGCTCTGTGAAACAAAGTTGGGAAACCCTAATGTCTTTCAGAATCAGATGACACTTACCTGAATCAAGTTTGTTTATCCTGAAAAGATTTTACAACCACAACACTAATTTGGACTTTAATTTTCAGGTGATTTCTTACTCTTAGAACCTTTTTTTTTTTTTTTTTTTGGTAGGGGAGGACAGGTTTGTGAATAGTTTATCAAGTCCTGGGCTCTAACATTTTCTTTAAACTCTGTTTGCAAATTGAGCAGTATCTTCTTTAGCTTACTTCTCTTCCTTCCTATAATCTAACATACAGAGCTGGAAAAATTCAAGAGGAAGGGAGTTAGACTCCAGCTTTTGATGTAAAAAGGACCATCAGTGCAAGAGATGGGTAGAATTGATGGGGGTGGAGGGGCATCTTTTTAAGCAATCTTCCACGGCTAGGCCTAAGACCAACATAGGCAACAGTTTTACCAATGGCTCATTATCACACAACACGGGTTGCCATTTTTGCACACTCAAATAGCAGTTTGGAATTTGTCAAGCCTTCACTGACTGTTTCCTTACCAGCTTCGTTTTGCCACCCAGTGACAAATACCATGTACTTCGATGAAGTGCAACGTACTTTAAAGGCAATGCAATATACTTTAATCTTTCGTTACCATACAATTCAAGTTTTGGCATTGACTTCTGTATTAATTATCTATTGCTAATATGAAAAGCCACCCCAACAAGAAAAAGTAAAACAATAACCTGGGTCACCCGTTTGGACTAGATTCAGTCAGGTCTTTTTTATTCTGTTTTCAGAAACCTGAAGAAAATTAATGAGACAATTTTGACATTGTAATTGTTCATGGACTCAGTTGTGTCTGGATGATCCACAATGATCACATCCATTTGCATAGCCTTTGTTAGGGTTCAGCTAGGGCTTCTCTGTTCTGTTTTCTCCATTTCTATCTAGCTAAGTCAGGCTCATTCTCATCTTGGTTTTGGTGTTCCCACTATAAACGAAAGAGGTTAAGCCCCAGTGTGCAAACACCTTTTGAGTCTCTGCCTACGTATAATTTGCTAATATCACATTGGCCAAAATGCCACATGACTAAGCGTACATTCACTGGTTGGAGAAGTGAATTCATTTTTTTGATGGGTAGGGTGCTACAATCAAATTGCAAAGGTGTGTACGTGCAAGGATGGAAAGAATTATTGCATTTCTCTGTAAAAGCAACTTCCCATGGATATATTATAATCAATTATAAGTTGTTTTTAATAATTTATTTTTGTCCTAATAATCAAATAATGAAGCTTAAGAAAATCTTTTAAAAATGAGCAACAGCAGAATCAAAATTGTTCCTGAAATTGTTCATCACCCACTTGAATTTAGATATACTTTCTTAGAGGTGAGAAAGGAATGTGGAATTATATTTAGTGTCTTGAGATTTATTCATTATCTTGCTTTCCTTGGCTGTAGGCCAAAATATCCTTGGAATTATATTGACAACTCACAATTTCCTAGGAGACTGGAGAATCTGGCTTTAAAATTTGCAGAAACAGATGAAAATTTGAAGCAAAAACCACAAAAGTAGTCTATTAGTAGGTATAGTCTGATCTCCACTGAGATATTAATATAATGAAATCTCAAACATTCTGAGTATTTTTGCACTTCTAGTTCAGTTTTAATTTTCACAGAACAATCATCTAAATTAGTCTACCTTTGATATCAGTTTAATCCTTACCTAAATGAGGCCAGACGAGCGCATACCGTCTTCATATGCATTTGTCTTGTGGGGAGGAAGTGGAAGCTGGCAGCTGGCAGGCAGCAAAGGCACATTTACTCCGTATTGGAGTTCATCATGCCCAGGGTAGAGCTATCTGACACGTCCGTTGCAAGGGGTCAAAGCAAAGTTTGAGAATTATTTATTTTCATGATCAAAAAGTCTATGATAAATAAATCAATTTCAGGGAATACAAAACCTTCCTCACTTTCCTTTAGGGTCAATGTTGAGGACTTTAGGCCTTAGGCATAGAAGATGTAGGAATAGACTGAGCAAAAGACCTGAGAACATTTTCTTTAATGTATATCCCAGCGGATTTCCATCCTAGTGGATGCTTGTCACTCAAAAAGGGGAATGAGGAAAAGTGGCACAGGATCTGATGAATTAACACATTGTATCTCCAAGGCTAGACCCTGCACGCCAATATTAACTGCCCTCTCAGCAAACTCTGCAGGGCTGGGGTCATAACTCTACCCCTAGCTGTGGCTGTCTGTTGTGCATGGTAGTTTGGAATCTGATGACTCAAAGCCACCATCCCAGGCAGCAGCCATCTGTCTTTGGAGTTCTCTCTTCTTTTAATGTTCCATTAACCTCTCACAGCTGGCCTTCCTATGCAAGATCATCAGTTCAGCTAATCTTTCACTGATCCCTCCCCTTTATGCAGGAGGTTCATCATTAATGCATTCTCCCTCTGCTCCCTGCTTCCTCTCCGCCTACCAGTGCTCTCTATTAGTGCAAGCTGTGCCGGGGGCAATTCATCCCACTGTCTGCTCAGCACCAGCTTTGTTGGGATTCAGCACCTTTGGGCCCTAAGGCAATGTATGTCCAGGCCCATTAGACACCGGGTTAGAAGCAATGTGAGGACATCTCCTTGTGTAGGAACATGAACTCTCAGAAAATTGAGCCTCCGTTTCCTCGTTTGGCCTGCTAGTATGCTCCTATTCACTTGATGTCCCCTCCCATAACTACGACTCAACTTAATTACAATAATAAAAATAGCAGTAACAATAGTTACTATATAATAATAATGCTGTGATATCATAATAACAATAGTCAACTTCATAGACAGAGTGCTAATGACCTGGATCTGTGCCAGATGCTACATGCTCCGATTAAATTCTTACAGCATCTTTCTGAGTTAGCTAATTTTGATGAGGGAGGATGTACCAGGTCACAGAAAGTTTAATGAAGCTGCCCAAGGCCATCCAACCAGTAAGGAAAAAGCCTGTGCTTGATCTTTTCTTCCCTATTTTCTTTAAAACTTGAGCTTTTAACCATTATACTTAATAAAAAAAAGATAGCTACCGGTTATGTTGCCTGGGGTTTTACCTGTATCAACATTTCAAAATTAAATGTAGTTTAGTATTTAAATAATTAGCAAGATTGATATAAATTAGTTTGGTACATTGAAATATACTGTACATTAAGTTGGTACAAATTTTTAAAATAAAATATGAAAAGAATGTTAAAAATAATTTCCAAGTATGATCTGTTAGATAACCAAGAATGCCTTCCTCTTGTCTTCTACTTTTAAGGGGAATATAAGTAGAAAGGTTTAAGAAGCACTTATGTAAGTAACAGTCCGCCACTAGAGTGTTTTTCAGACACAGAAATGACATGGCTATACTCACATTCAAAGAAGTTCTCTGGATAGCTTGGCTCCAGCTTAAACTGTGCTACCTCGTCTCTTACTCTCTGTCCCAGCCAAACTGCCCTTTCAGATGCTCTTCAATATTTTACCAACCGTATTCTCTTTACTGACTGTTCTCTGGCCCTTGAAGGCTCTTCACACCACCTGTTCTTCTAGATAATTGATAGTCACCTTTTAGAGTTCAGTTCAAATTACTACCTCAGGCATCCTTACCTAATAGACCACATCCTATATCATCAACTCTGATAACCCTGTGAGTCTCTCCTCGGTGCATATTACAGTTCCCATTTTATATTTGTTTTATGACTATGTGATTAATAATTATTTTCATCAGTTTCAATAGACTAGGAGTGTAATTTGTAAAAAGACTGGGACCATGCCTGTTTACCTGTTCCTACATTCATTCACAGTACTTGGCCTATATGGATACTCAATAGTTGTTTAATAAAAGAAGGAAAGAAAGAAAGGATAAAGAATGATGGAAGGAAAGAGGCATATTAAATGCTGAAATTACCCATTATTATCAACCTGGCATATGCAGGAGGTCAGCCCAGATAATTTTCACCCATGCTGGGGCTCCCCATGTTTCTCTGTTTGAGGCCATTCTTTGAACATGGACATGTTTGCCCTCCACATTGTGCAGTTTACAAGGAATAAGAATTATAGCCAAAGGAGGGACCCTCCATTTATAGAATTTCAAGTCTGTAAAGGAATATCCCCTTTTCTTTACCACTTAGTGGATGACTCCTAGTGGAAAGAGCTCATCATCCACAGTAGAAACATTCCAATCAGTGGACTTTCTCTTGGCTTTCCTGGACACCCACTTTCACTTCTCTACTGCTAGATCACCATTAAATAGACTACTTACACTCAAATTTCTTTCTCATGGTTTACTTTTGGGGAACCCGAAGTAAGACAGGAAGAAAGGAGATAATATGTTAAGGTAGAAGGAGGAAAGAAAAAGAAGTAGGAAGTAAAAAAGGAAAGAAATGAGAAGGAAGAAAGGAGAGGAAACAAGAAGGTGGGAGGAAGAAAAGAAAAGTTAGACATATAGTTGGAAAAACGGAAAAAAGGGAGGAAATAAAGGAAGGATGAGAAATAAGAAAAGAAGGACAGTGAAAACAAGGTAAAAATAATGAAAGAAAGACTAAAAATGAAAAAAATAAAAGAAACAGAGAAGTGGAAGAATGGGGAAAAGAAAGAAGAGAGGGAAGGAGGAAAAGAAGAATGAAAGAAAATATAAATAAAAAGAAAAAGAAGAAAGAGGGAAAAAGCAGGGGGAATACATAAGCCAAAAGAAAGAATGAAAGGAGAACAAATAAATAAGTAGGAAGAGACTGGGGAGAAGCAGAAAAAAAAAAAAAACAAGGCAGAACTTTAGGTTAAAACAAAATAGAAAAACGGAGACTTATTTTGAGCAGAAAAAAACATGGACTTAGAGAAGCTGATGGCAGGGAGACAAAGAGGTTGTTGGAAGAACATTTTCCTACACATACTAAAATTGTACTTTTTCTCTATAATGCAAACGAGCATTTCCTCCTGTCTGGTTAAGATGCCCAGCTCAGTGCCAAAGAGCATATCCTGGATGACAGCAAGACAGTTTTGTTTCTGTCTCAAAGGACTGATTTACCTGCCCCCCATGTTCATGCCAAGTTTTCCTTTGGCATGTATATGCCTGGGGTTCCATGGCTGTTCCCCCAAAACAACGACCTTAACAAATATCGGTTGGGGCAGCTGCAAAGCAGCAGCAGGTTAAATATTCTCAACCTTGAGTATTTCAGTGCATTTTAGGACTCAGAGGACAGGTGTAAGATAGGTTCACTGTGCCAGGGAGAATACACAAGTCAGAACCAAAGTTACCAAAGCAGGACAAATGCCCATCATCAGTAGGATGTTTCACTGTGGTTTAATACTTTCCTATTTATGAGTGTGAAGTATTTTATTCTGTCACAACATAGTTATTTACAGCCCAGCCTTTGGGAAAATTTTAAAGTTTGTGTTCTTTTCAGCCATCTTCATTTTAAGTATTTTTTTCTTTCCCTTAGATATAAGGAATTGAATTAACCTCAAAGTCAGAAATGAAAATCAAGAGCTTACAATTTAGTTTGTTCTGCCACCAAGTGATGTGGCCATAGAAACCACTTCATTCCTCTGTGTCTTTCTCCAGAACAGTTCAGATCAACTCAACAATATTCCAAGTGGGCTTTGCAGAGCATCTTCTGGACTAAGTAGAAGGAGAAGGAGAAGGAGCCAGACCTTCCCTGTGGCCATGCTTTCTCTAAAACAGCCCTGATGACTTACTTTTTCAGGTTGAGGTCTGAGTAAGCCTCCATATTATGTAATAATAATTATATTATTATGTAATAATATAAAATAATGATATCAATTATCTTTACAGTCCTTTTCATGCCTAAAATTCAAACTCCATAAACAAGCAAACAAACCAAGACAAATATCCCTTAATAAGAATTTAAGTTAAAAATAGCATTTTCTTTAAATGGAAATGACAGAATTATTAAAAAGCTAACTGTAAGTATATATTAAGTTATAGAGACATTATAGCCACACCTGACAAGTGTGTTTCTGTGGGTCTAATTATTCTTACAATTCTTTAACTTCCCCAGCAGACCGAAAGGCTCCTACTGAGCTTTCTGAGAGCCCTGAAAAAGTATGTCTTTAAAAGGGTAGCTTAAGGGATGTGTCACCTTCCCATCCCTGTGCTCTTATCAAAATGTCAGAGGAGCACATGCAGAGACGATGTATTTCCCCTTCCACCTGCATTTAGCCTCTGTGGACTAGATGGGTATCACAAAGGCTGAAAGAAAGAGGAAAATATATTAAAATGTTTTTTTTACCTTAAGTTTCCTCTGTGGTTTGTCCAGGCCAGGAGAGAAGTCAAAGACACTTCTCTCCAGGGTTGGCAATTTCCAAGAGATCCAGCCATGTACAGAGTAGCAGTGGGGTCAAGGAAGAGGCAGCTTCTTCAGGACTCTCAAGCTCCAGCAGGATTCTTGATCCATCTACCAAAGAAGCAGGGAGGGGTGAAAGGTGTTGAGGAGATGAAATGCCAGGGTGAGAGGCAGTTCCTTGCTTAGTGGGTAGCTCCCATTTAGAGTAAGAAAGGGTCCCTGGACAGGTACAGCAATTATATGAAAATGGAAATGTTCTGTATATTTATGAACTCCATCATATACTTCCTTATTTTTATGACCCTGAGGGATGGAGGACTGTCTTTTGTTTGTTCTAGGGTTTACAGTCAGGGCTCTCACACCAGGTTTCAATTCACAGCTGCAGGTAAGACACTGTTCTGGGGCTCCCAGAATCCCTCAGATCTTCCAAGAGAGATGAAAACCTCCATCCCCAAAAAGAGAAAACTCTCTATTTTCAAGTGGACTGTTCCTATCAAGAGAATTCTATGAAATGTTAATTTTTTTAAACTTATAATATTGATTCTTTTCTGTATAAAGAAAATGAGAAGCAGCACAGTAAAACAATGATAGATTAAAAACATTTTGAACCTCAGTTCTATTTTTTTACTAGTTGGGTGACCATGGACAAATCATATCTTCTAAGTCTGTTTTTTAATCTGAAAAATATGAACAATAAAACTCATGTCATCAAGTTGTACGCTTGTAAAAAATCTCCTAGCATGTTGCCTAGTACATAGTTCATCTAGTTTTTTTAATTGAAAAAGTTCAAAACACTTTGTAGAACTAATCAGTTAAAGATTTTTTCTAACAATGATTTATTTAAATTATTATTGAGTCTTCATTTTCATTATAATCATAGCTTCTATATACTACCAGAATATAATTATAAACATTATAAAATATTTGAATGCCAAGGTAAATTTGTTATGTAATAGGAAACCACCAAAGGCATTTGAGCTTGAGATTCATTAATTTCTTGCATACATACCTATTACATGCTTAGGTGTCATGCACTCATGTGTCGGGCACTGTTCCAGAAGTTGGCAACAAATGGGTTTAGTAGACAAAAGTTATAAAGTTTACATTCTTGTGAGGATAAATGAGGAGAGATGTTCTATCAAAAATGATCATCTGAGAGCAGAGTTCAGGAATTTAATAGAGTGAAAAGAAGATTGAGTGAATGAAGAGAGAGATACAAAGGTGATGGGAAGGCAAGGGGGAAGATTGATTTGGAGGGAGAGTAGAGAGTTCTGTTTTAAAATGTTGCCAAGGCATCTAGTTACATGTCTCCTGAACACATCATAAATGGTAGACTGTGGTTTGGGAGAGACTTCAAAATCTGAGTTTAATTTGCACTAGAATAATTCTGAAGTTTAAAAAAGTATGAAAGTGTAGAGTAGGAAGAGAAAAGACGAAATAAATAAAATAAAAATAATCTCATAAACAATGAGATTTTTCACCCTTAAACAATGAAGAAGGTAGGTGAGCTTACCCAGAAGCAGTCCTGGGAAAATCAGCGTGTTGAGAACTTCCACACTGAAATCTGCTTAAATGTCCAATACACACTTCTGTTGTCTTATCAAGGGGAAAACATGTCATAATCCATGACAAGAATTGGAAATTTCTCTGAATGTGCCCTGAAG